>NC_000001.11:203639132-203790647 GCF_000001405.40 Homo sapiens | reverse complement strand
AATTTTAGACGTGTGAAGAATTTTCCACAGACTAGCCTCTGATGCCATATGTTTCAAACCTTGTCACCCCTCAATGATTTACATTCTTCCAGTGCCAGATGCTGTAGGGCAGGTTTAAAACAAAATGTGACCTCTGGCCCTACAACATTGGGTCATAATGCTAGATGAGTCACTACAGTGGGCAACAGGGGTATTCTTGAAAACTATTTCTAGCCCCATGAAAGTGACTGTAAATCACATAAATATAACCCAAAATAATTGCATCCCAACCCCCTTTTAGCCAGATCCCAAAATGCCCAATAAGGGGAAGGTACTAGAAAGGACAGCTGAGTGAAAAGAAACAGGGCTTTTAACCATTGTCATTAAAATCTTACTTTTGCAAGTTTTAGAATGACTGCATTGCTAAGGCCCTGTCCAGAGCCTTGAAGGGAGCTTGTGAAAGAAAGGGTACCTGAAGGTTAAGCTTCATTATTTGCATAGCAGATCGGTAGTAGGATGTGTTGACTCTCATATAATCTGGATTCAAATGCTGACCCAGCCTTCACCCTGAGGCTCTAGTCCACCCTGCGGGCTTTACAAACTGAGGGTAGCCCTGTGTCTGTACTACCCGACATGAGAGATTGGAGTGGGAGAGAAACCACCATGTGAGTAGCTAGTCCCTTCCCCCACAGTGTTCATCACCACTGTCCATCATCTTGCCTTTTTGTTGTTGTTATTGTTGTTGTTTTTGAGACAGAGTTTCACTCTTCTGCCCAGGCTGGAGTGCGATGGCGCGCTCTCAGCTCACTGCGAACTTTGCCTCGCAGGTACAAGCGATTCTCCTGCCTCAGCCTCCCGAGTAGTTGAGATTATAGGCGCCTGCCACCATGCCCAACTAATTTTTTTTGTATTTTCAGTAGAGACGGGGTTTCACCATGTTGGCCAGGCTGGTCTTGAACTCCTGACCTCAGGTGATCCGCCCACCTTGGCCTCCCAAAGTGCTGGGATTACAGGTGTGAGCCACCGCGCCCAGTCTCATCTTGCCTCTTTTTATCCCTGCCTTTGGGTCTCAGCTGTCTGACATGTGTGAGAAGATAGTGACTAACAGAGCATTCTACCGAGAAGCCTTAGACAGGAGTCACAAATAACTTACTAACTGCGGATGACACAATTTAAACTTCTTTCTCTGACTGTGGGATCTGAACTGGTATCATCAAAAATCAACACTTCTAGGCCTGCCTTCCCCTTCCAATGCTTCCAATGCATCCTTTTGCTGTTTTATTTCCTCATAAGGATTTTTTACTTGGTCCTCAAATAACATTGTTTCATTCAATGTCATTTCATTAAAATGATGATGAGGAAAAAATAAATCAATTCCAGGCCGAGTACACTGTCTGGGTGGATTTTACACATTTCACTCGTGTCTGTGTGAGTTTTCTCCAGGTACTCCAGTTTCCTCCCACATCCCAAAGATGTGCAAATTAGGTGAACTGGTATGTCTAAATGATCCCAGTCTTAGTGAGCCTGGATGTGAGTGTACCCTGTGATGGAATAGCAGCAGCCTGTCCAGGTTTGGTTTCTGCTCTTCTCCCTGAGCTGCTGGGATAAGATCCAGCTACCAAGGCCCTGAAATGGAATAACTGGGTAAATACTTAGCTTGTTCTTACTAATTTTTTTTTTTTTTTTTTTTTTTTAGACAGAGTCTTGCTCTGTTACCCAGGCTGGAGTGTGGTGGCACAATCTCAGCTCACTCAACCTCCACCTCCTGGGTTCAAGTGTTTCTCCTGCCTCAGCCTCCTGAGTAGCTGGGATTACAGGTGCCTGCCACCATGCCCAGCTAATTTTTATATTTTTAGTAGAGACGGGTGTGATGGTTAATACTGAGTGTCAACTTGATTGGATTGAACAATACAAACTATTGATCCTGGGTGTGTCTGTGAAGGTGTTGCCAAAGGACATTAACATTTGAATCAGTGAGGCTGGGCGCGGTGTCTCATGCCTGTAATCCCAGCACTTTGGGAGGCCGAGGCTGGTGGATCACAAGGTCAGGAGATCCAGACCATCCTGGCTAACACAGTGAAACCCCGTCTCTACTAAAAATACAAAGATTAGCCGGGCGTGGCAGCGTGTGCCTGTAGTCCCAGCTGCTGGGGAGGCTGAGGCAGGAGAATGGCGTGAACCCGGGAGGTGTAGCTTGCAGTGAGCCGAGATTGTGCCACTGCACTCCAGCCTGGGCGACAGAGTGAGACTCCATCTCAAAAAAAAAAAAAAAAAAAAAAAAAAAAAACCATTTGAATCAGTGTGCTGGCCTGGGAAAGGGCAGACCCACCCTTAATCTGGGTGGGCACAATCTAATCAGCTGCCAGCATGGCTACAATATAAGCAGGCAGAAAAATGTGAAAAGAGAGACTGACCTAGCCTCCCAGCCTACACCTTTCTCCCTTGCTGGATGCTTTCTGCCCTCAAACATCGGACTCCAGGTTCTTCGGTTTTGGGACTCAGACTGGTTCTCCTTGCTCCTCAGCCTGCAGACAGCCTATTGTGGGACCTTGTGATGGTGTGAGTTAATACTTATTAAACTCCCCTTTATATGTGTGTCTATTCCATTAGTTCTGTCCCTCTAGAGAACCCTGACTAATACAAGGGCGTTTCACCATGTTGGCCAAGGCTGGTCTCGAACTCCTGACCTCAAGTGATCCACTGGCCTGAGCCTCCCAAAGTGCTGGGATTACAGGCATGAGCCACTGCTCCCAGCCTACTGACCTCTCTTAAATGTATCTATAACTCGCATTTATTTCAGTGTTTAATATTGAATGTTTAATGTTCAATGTTTTGGTCTTTATTTAGAAGTTTGAGCCTGGGCAACACAGCAAGACCCTGTCTTTAAAAAAACAAAAAAAATACAAAATTTAGTGGGGCATGGTGATGCACACCCATTGCCTCAGCTATTTGGGAGAGTGAGGCAGGATGATCACTTGAACCCAGGAATTTGAGGGTGCAGTGAGCTATGATCATGATACTACACTCCAGCCTTGGTGACAGAGTGAGACTCCATCTCTAAAAAAATTAAAATTAAAAGAAATATGTTTGAGGATATTTATATGACCAGAAATATGCTGTAGGAACTCAACTTTTGTTTATATCAGTTAGCCTATAGTAAAATTGGTTTTGCTATCACTGTTTCACTTAAAGTTGAAGTTTCCAAGAACATATTGATAATATTAAATGAGAACCTTACTGTATGTAGGTTTTTTTTGATACGGAGTCTTGCTGTCACCCAGGCTGGAATGCAATGGCGTGATCTTGGCTTACTGCAACCTCCTCCTCCCAGGTTCAAGTGATTCTCCTGCCTCACCCTCTCGAGTAGCTGGGATTACAGGCACCTGCTACCATGCCTGGCTAATTTTTGTATATTTAGTAGAGATGAGGTTTCGCCGTGTCGGCCAGGCTGGTTTTGAACTCCTGACCTCAAGTGATCTGCCTGCCTCGGTCTCCCAAAGTGCTGGGATTACAGTTTTTTTTTTTGAGATGGAGTTTCACTCTTGTTGCCTGCGCTGGAGTGCAATGGCAGGATCTCAGCTCACCACAACCTCCGCCTCCCAGGTTCAAGCGATTCTCCTGCCTCAGCCTCCCAAGTAGCTGGGATTACAGGCATAAGCCACCATGCCCAGCTAATTTTGTATTTTTAGTAGAGACGGGGGGTTCTCCATGTTGGTCGGGCTGGTCTCGAACACCTGACCTCAGGTGATCCACCTCCCTTGGCCTCCCAAAGTGCTGGGATTACAGGCGTGAGCCACCGCTGAGGCAGCTGGCGTGATCCCAGGCTATGGCAGCTGGACCATTTGAGGTCAGGAGGTCAGGAATTTGAAACCAGCCTGGCCAACATGGTGAAACCTCGTCTGTACTAAAAAAAAAAAAAAAAAAAAAAAAAAACTAATTGGGCATAGTGGTGTGCACTTGTAGTCCCAGCTACTCAGGAGGCTGAGACAGGGGAATTGCTTGAACCCGGGAGGCAGAGGTTGCAGTAAGCTGAGATGGAGCACTGCACTCTAGCCTGGGCAACAGAGTGAAACTCCGTCTCAAAAAAAAAAAAAGAGAGGTAATCAGTCCCTGTGTTGCTGCATCTTCTGATTTTTCAAGAAAAGCTAAGAATTCAGATTTTTAGTGAAAGTTTCTGATTTGTAAATTTAGCACTTAATTCAAACAGAACAACAAAATAATCATTTTATGGGCATGGGCACCCTTTACTTCAGTTCTAGCGGAGTTAGAAAGGAGGAGATGGTCATTGGAAAATGGTGTTTCAGGAAGTACTTTCTGAAGCAGGTGAGACTTGAGCTTAACCTTAACCTGGGCAGAGGTGAGAGGTAAGTGAAGAGGAGTGTATTAGTGTTTTCACACTGCTGATAAAGACATACCTGAGACTGGGCACTTTAAAAGAAAGAAAGAGGTTTATTGGACTTACTCCAATATAAGGGAATTGTGGCTTGGGAGGCCTCACAATCATGGTAGAAGGTGAAAGGCACATCTCACATGGCGGGAGACAAGAGAAGAGAGCTTGTGCAGGGAAACTCCCCTTCTTAAAACTATCAGATCCCTTTAAAACTTTGCTATCATGAGAACATCATGGGAAAGACCTGCCCCCATGATTCAATTATGGGTCCCTCCCACAACACGTGCAAATACAAGATGAGATTTGGGTGGGACATAGCCAAACCACTTCAAGGAAGAAAGAAATTATATTACAGAGATCCCTGAAGGGATGATGGAGAAGAGCTCACAGGTTACAGGAGGAGAGGACATTGTAAAGGTAGGTTTGAGTTAGATTGTAGACGGTTTTGAATGTTGAGAAGGCATCGGGATCATACTCCATTGGCGACAAGAATTCCTGGAAGGCTTTGAAATGGAGACAAAATGGTAGAAGATGTGACATTAGCAAAGTTGTGTTTCAGAAATACTGAACTAGTGGTGATGTTGGGCAGAAGTGACTGCAATAGTCAGTGAAAGCATCAATGAGTGGTCCCTCTTGGTCCTATCTGTTATCCCCTCTTTATCTCGCAGCTTAATTTATCCCACTCTAGTTGTTCCCCAAAGCCTAGTAACATACATGCATCCTATTCTATTATGCTCAATCTTGCCTTTCCCTCTGGCACTCCTAATTTCTCATCTTATCTTCCTTCCAATTTCCTTGACTGCTTTGTTGGCTCTCATACACTCTTTAATCTGTTTCATTTGGGTGTATGTTCTCATGGATTCCCTGAAATTACTGTGGTAAAGTCATTAGTTTTAAATTGAATAGATCCTTTTCAGTTTTTATTTTTCTTCATGTTATTAGCCAGCATTTATTGATAGTTTATTATGTGCCAGCACTGTGTTAATAGCTTTATTTACATTATCTAATTTAATCCACACAATAACTTTATAAAATAAGTATGATTATTAACCTCTTCTTACAAATGTTTATAAACTTCTAGTGACTTGTTAAAAGTGTCATTGCTGGGAAGTGGCAAAGGAAAGTTGTAAACCAGGTCTGTCCAACTACAAATCAATATGCAAAAATTTGACCTCATCCACCATTTTCTTTAAACTCCCCTCCCTTCATCTAAAAGACAAAATTCTTTCATGTTTTTTTTTTTTTTTTTTTTTTTTGAGACAGAGTATCACTCTGTCACCCAGGCTGGAGTTCAGTGGCATGATCTCAGCTCACTTCAGTCTCCATCTCCCAGATTCAAATGAGTCTCATGCCTCAGCTCCTGAGTAGTTGGGACCACAGGCGCCCGCCATCACACCTGGTTAATTTTTGTATGTTTTGTAGAGATAGGGTTTTGCTCTGTTGGCCAGGCTGGTCTCAAACTCCTGGTCTCAAGTAATCTGCCTGCCTCAGCCTCCCAAAGTGCTGGGATTACAGGTGTGAGCCATTGTGCCTGGCCAAGACAAAATTCTATCCTGTTTTTTTTCCCCAAACTCTCTGGCTGCTCATTCTCTAGTTCCTTGGCAGTTTCCTCTTTCTCCCCTCATTTAACTGTGTGTTGTTGTTGTTGTTGAGACAGGATCTTGCTCTGTTGCCTAGGGTGGGGTGCGGTGGTGTGATCTCAGCTCACTGCAGCCTCAACCTTTTGCACTCAAGTGATCCTCCCACCTCAGCCTCCTGAGTAGCTGGGACTACATACAGGTGTACACCACCATGTCTGGCTAATTTTTGTATTTTTTCATAGAGATGGGGTTACACCATGTTGCTCAGGCTTTTCTCAAACCCCTGGCCTCAAGTGATCCACCTGCTTTGGCCTCCCAAAGTGCTGGGATTACAGGGGTAAGCTACCATGCCTGGCCCTTTGAAACATTTTCTAAGTCAAAGCAAGCAAGCAAGCAAGCAAGCAAGCAGGAGAGGCTATATTAATATCAGATAAATAGACTTCAGAACAAGGAATATTACCAGCAATAAAGAGGGGCATTAAATAATGACAAAGGAGTCAATTCACCAAGAAGCCATTAGCAATCCTAAATATGCATGCAACTAACAATAGAGCTTCAAAACCCATGAAGGCTTTACGGAGGTAGAACTGAAAGGAAAAACAGAGAAATCCACAATTATATTTGAATCCATCAGCACTCTTCTCTGAGCAATTGATAGAACAAGTAGATGGAACATCAGTAAAGATATAGATGACCTGAACAACAAACACTGTCAACCAGCTTGAGTTCACTGATGTTTTCAAAGCATTTTGCTCAACAGCAGTTGAATACACATTCTTTTCATGTGAAATCCCACAAGAAACTTGGAGAATTATGTCTTGACCTGAGATTGTCAAGAATGGGCTTCCCCCTCTTACAGAGTCAGTTTTCCAGGACACCTGCGGCAAACTCAAACTTTGTCAGAGATTCTCTGCTTCTGAGTACAGCTTACTTATGGACCTAGCATTTATTTAGCCACGTAGAGACCTCCCCTGATGTGTCTGCCTGGTGTCTCTCTGAGCAATGATGGCTTTACGTGGCTGGCTTCTGCTTTGATGTTTGCTATGAGCTCCAGGGAAGAAACATCTTCCTTAAATGAATGCCGTATCTGATACATAATATAAATCAGTTCATCTGCGGTGGCTCATGCCTGTCATCCCAGCACTTTGGAAGGCTGACTTGGGCAAATCACTTGAGGCCAGGAGTTTGAGACCAGCCTGGCCAACATGATGAAACCCCATCTCTACTACAAATACAAAATTAGCTGGGTATGGTGGCAGGCGCCTGTAATCCCAGCTACCTGGGAGGCTGAGATGGGAGAATCGCTTGAACCTGGCAGGCAGAGGTTGCAGTGAGCTGAGATTGTGCCATTGCACTCCAGACTGGGCAACAAGAGCGAGACCTTGTCTCAAAAAAAAAAAAAAGAAAAAAAGAAATTAATTTATCAAGAAACCAGCAAATGTTTCAGGCCCAACAGCCTTTTTTTCCACTTCCTCGTTTCTTCTTTTTCTTGTTTGTTTTTTTTTGAGACGGAGTCTGGCTCTGTCGCCCAGGCTGGAATGCAGTGGTGCAATCTAGGCTCACTGCAACCTCTGCCTCCTGGGTTCAAGCGATTCTCCTGCCTCAGCCTCCCAAGTAGCTGGGACTACAGGTGCGTGCCATCATGCCCAACTAATTTTTTATATTTTTAGTAGAGATGGGGTTTCACTGTGTTTGCCAGGATGGTCTCGATCTCCTGACCTCGTGATCCATCCGCCTCGACCTCCCAAAGTTCTGGGATTACAGGCGTGAGCCACTGTCCCCGGCCCTCGTTTCTCCTTTAGAAACCTAGATTTGTGTGCATGCCTACGTATGCTCATCTTTTTACTTCTCTGAATCTGACCACAGGGCTTCAGATATTATCATGTTCTTCTATCATCAGACATATTAAATTATGTCATTGTAGTAGATAAAATAATGCCCCCCAACAAAGATGTTCACATCCTAATCCCTGAAACCTGTGACTGTGTTACCTTGCATGGTAAAAAGGATTTTGTAAGACCAGGCGCAGTGGCTCATGCCTGTAATCCCAGCACTCTGGAAGGCCTAGGCGGGCGGCTCACCTGAGGTCAGGAGCTCGATACCAGCTTGGCCAACATGGTAAAACTCTGTCTCCACTAAAAATACAAAAATTAGCCGGGCATGGTGGCATGCATCTGTAATCCCAGCTACTTAGGAGGCTGAGGCAGGAGAATTGCTTGAACCTGGGAGGCCTCTTCTAATTACATTGGGCCCACTCTGATATCCAGGATAGTCTCCTCATCTCAAGACCTTTACTCATACCTGCAAAGTCCTCTTTTTTTTTTTGAGGTGGAGTCTCACTCTTGTCGCCCAGGCTGGAGTGCAGTGGTGTGATCTCGGCTTGGGGCACAGCGTGCTGGGGAGAGTGAAGGAAAGAGAGCAGGAGCTCTTTTTGTGAGAAAGGATGTGTTTTCCTCAGTTGGAGTAGAGAGGTGGGACGTCCACATTCCTGAGAAGAGACTCAAATAAGCACATAAGCATGAGGGCAGGGAGGGCAGGCCCGTGGGCCCAGGGCTGGCTACATAATGTGTAGGGCCCAGTGCAAAATGAAAATGTGGAAACACTTGTTCACAAAATAGAAAAAAAATACTGTTGGCTGGGCATGGTGGCTCACGCCTGTAATCCCAGCACTGTGGGAGGCTAAGGCTGGCAGATCACCTGAGGTCAGGCGTTTGAGACCAGCCTGACCAACATGGTGAAACCCCTCCTCTACTAAAAATACAAACATTAGCTGGGCATGGTGGCACATGCCTGTAATCCCAGCTACTCAAGAGGCTGAGGCAGGAGAATAGCTTGAACCCGGGAGGCAGAGGTTGCAGTGAGCCGAGATCGTGCCATTGTACTCCAGTCTCGGTGACAGAGCAAAACTCCTCTCAAAAAAAAAAAAACAAAAAAAAAAACAGGCCGGGCGTGGTGGCTCACGCCTATAATCCCAGCACTTTGGGAGGCAGAGACGGGCGGATTACGAGGTCAGGAGATTGAGACCATCCTAGCTAACACGGTGAAACCCCATCTCTACTAAAAACACAAAAAAATTAGCCGGGCATGGTGGCGGGCACCTGTAGTCCCAGCTACTCGGGAGGCTGAGGCGGAAGAATGGCGTGAACCCGGGAGGCGGAGCTTGCAGTGAGCTGAGATCACGCCACTGCACTCCAGCCTGGGCAACACAGCGAGACTCCGTCTCAAAAAAAAAAAAAAACATACTGTTAAAGGTGCTAAAATATAAAGCTTTCCCCTTTCTTCTAGTCCAAGCTTGTTCAACCCACAGCCTGCAGGCTCCATGCAGCCCAGGATGGCTTTGAAAATAGCCCAACACATATTCAAATTCATAAACTTTCTTAAAACATGAGATTTTTTGGAGATTTTGTTTTTTGTTTTTTGTTTTTTAGCTTATCAGCTATCATTGGTGTTAGCATATTTTATGTGTAGTCCAAGACAATTCTTCTTCTTTCTTTTTTTTTTTTGGTGAGATGGAGATTTACTCTTGTTGCCCAGGCTGGAGTTCAAGGGCGTGATCTTGGCTCACCGCATCCTCCGCCTCCCAGGTTCAAGCGATTCTCCTACCTCAGCCTCCCGAGTAGCTGGGATTACAGGCATGTGTCACCACGCCCGGCTAATTCTGTATTTGTAGTACAGATGAAGTTTCACCGTGTTGCCCAGGCTGATCTCGAACTCCTGACCTCAGGTAATCCTCTCGCCTCGGCCTCCCAAACAGCTGGGATTACAGGCGTGAGCCACTGCGCCCAGTCAATTCTTCTTTCAATGTGGCCCAGGGAAGCTAAAAGATTGGACATCCCTATATGTAGTCTTTCTTTTTTCTTTTCTTTTCTTTTTTTTGTTTGAAACGGAGTCTCGCTCTGTAGCCCAGGCTGGAGTGCAGTGGCGCGATCTCGGGCTCACTGCAAGCTCCGCCTCCCGGGCTCATGCCATTCTCCTGCCTCAGCCTCCCGAGTAGCTGGGACTACAGGTGCCCGCCACCACGCCCGGCTAATTTTTTTTTTTTGTATTTTTAGTAGAGACAGGGTTTCACCGTGTTAGCCGGGATGGTCTCAATCTCCTGACCTCGTGATCCGCCCGTCTTGGCCTCCCAAAGTGCTGGGATTACAGGCGTGAGCCATCGCGCCCAGCCTATCTAGTCTTTCTTGACATGGTGTTTTAAATTTACTATTTAATGCCATTCTAAGTAAAGAAAATTAACTTTTTTTTTTTTTTTTGAGGCGGAGTTTCCTTCTTGTTGCCCAGGCTGGAGTGCAATGGCGGGATCTCGACTCACTGCAACCTCTGCCTCCCGGGTTCAAGCAATTCTCCTGCCTCAGCCTCCTCAGTAGGTGAGATTACAGGCACACGCCACCATGCCCAGCTAATTTTTGTATTTTTAGTAGAGATGGGGTTTCACCATGTTGGCCAGGCTGGTCTCGAACTTCTGACCTCAGGTGATCCACCCACCTCAGCCTCCCAAAGTGCTGAGATTACAGGCATGAGCCACCATGCCCAGCCAAGAAAATTAGCATTTAACATAGTTAGCATGACTTCATCTTTATATTGTGCAATGCCAGCTTTATGGTTTTATTTTTTTATTTTTTATTTTTTTGAAACAGAGTTTCACTCTTGTTACCTAGGCTAGAGTGCAATGGAGCAATCTCGGCTCACTACAACCTCCGCCTCCTGGGTTCAAGCAATTCTCCTGCCTCAGCCTCCCAAGTAGCTGGGATTACAGGTGCCCGTGACAAAGCCTGGCTAATTTTTGTATTTTTAGTAGAGATGGGGTTTCACCATGTTGGCCAGGCTAGTCTCGAACTCCTGACCTCAGGTGATCTGCCTGCCTCTGCCTCTCAAAGTGCTGGGATTACAGGCATGAGCCACAGTGCCCAGCCTAATGCCAGCTTTATTTTTTACTTATTTATTTTTTCTTGAGATAGAGTCTTGCTCTGTCACCCAGGCTAGAGTGCAGTGATCTTGGCTCACTGCAACCTCTGCCTCCCAGGTTTAAGTGATTCTCCTGCCTCAGCCTCCCAAGTAGTTGGGATTACAGGTGTGTGCCACCACACCTGGCTAATTTTTCTATTTTTGGTAGAGACGGGGTTTCACCATGCTGGCCAGGCTGGTCTCAAACTCCTGACCTCAAGTGATCTGCCTGCCTCGGCCTCCCAAAGTGCTGGGATTACAGGCATGAGACACCACGCCTGGCCTTTCATGTTTATCTCTTGATCATATGCTAAACAAGGGGCAGATTATTCATTAGTTTACTGGGAAAGGGGTGGAGATTTCCCAAAACTAAAGGTTCATCTTCCTTTCAGACCATAGAGGGTAACTTCTAGACATTGCTATGGCATTTGTAAACTGTCATGGTGCCGGTAGGAGTGTCTTTTAGCATGCTAATGCATTCTAATGAGCATATAATGAGCAGTGAGGATGACTAGGGGTCACTCTCGTCGCCATCTTGGTTTCGATGGGTTTTGGCTGGCTTCTTTATCGCAGCCTGTTTTATCAGTAAGGTCTTTGTGACCTGTATCTTGTGCCGACCACCTATCTCATTCTGTGACTAAGAATGCCTAACCTTCTGGGAATGCAGCCCAGCAGGTCTCAGCCTCATTTTACCCAGCTGCCATTTAAGATGGAGTCGCTCTGGTTCCAGTGCCTCTGACTTACCCACTCTGAATCATGCTGAACTTCCATGAAATGTGGGTCTGCCAGAATTCTTTACTCATAAGGCACTGCAAAAACTATATATAAATGGGAGGCAATGGATGATGGACATGCATATTATGAGTATCTTCTCTTCCCATGTGCATTCTCCATTGTCCCAACAGACTTCATTTACAAAACACGAGTTCAAAGATAAGAATTTCTTTCAAAGGTAAGAATTTCAAGATGGCAACATCACAATATTAAACCAAGTGCAGGGCCCTTCTGAGTGCCAGGCCCCATGCAACTGCTTAGGCAGCACGTCCAGGAAGCTGGCCCTGCATGGGAAATTGCGCTCTTGTGAAGGGCTTCAGGTTCCTTTCATTTCCCCTGGAGAGTCAAAGAAGCATCGGAGATAAAAGAAAAAGTTAGAGTTTTCTGGCTATGTTGTCATATTCTTCTGAAATGATCCTAACTCTTCAGGGTAGAAACAGACATCTACCTTCCCAGTCTGGAGCTGGGAATGCTGAAGGAAACGATTGGTAAGAGGAAAGGGAGGCCTGTTTACTTCCATTTCTCTCTAACTTCAGGGGAGCAGGACACCGGCTTATTGACTGAGAGTTTCTGGAAATATTTGCAAGTCAGTATAGGCCCTCAGCCCACAGGAAACCCAGAATTGACGATAAAGCCTGTCATAGTAAGGGGGTGCTGAAGGAGAACAGATGCCAGAGGGACAGCAAGACCTCATCTTCCATTCACCATTAGAGGGTGGGTGCTTCTAGAGGGAAGGAGGGAACTTAGCAAACCTCTGTATTTTGTACTAAACAGTATCCTGAATGAAGACACAATCAATATAATGTAGGTTTGGGTAATTAATTCATTTTATTTAACTAATTAAGGAATCAAAATGGGTTAGTTATCTTTGTTTGTTTGAGGCAGAGTCTTGCTATCACCCAGGCTGGAATGCAGAGGCAAGAATATGGCTCACTGCAGCCTCAACCTCTTGGGCTCAAGTGATCCTCCCACCTCAGCCTCCCGAGTAGCTGGAACTACAGGCAGGCACCACCATGTCTAGCTAATTTTTGTATTTTTTGTAGAGATGGGTTTTACCATGTTGCCCAGGCTGGTCTTGAACCCCTGGGCTGAAGTCATCTGCCTGCCGTGGCCTCCCACAGAGCTGGGATTATAGGCGTGAGCCACTGTACCTGGCCTTGGTTATCTTTATATCTACTTTTTCATCCTATCCTAATCTTGAAAAAATTTCCTCATATTTAGCATCATCGAGTGTATGAGATAAGACAATTAGTCAACATTTCCTGGCAACTAATGTGAGAAAACAAAACCATAAATGGAAAGAAAAAAATTAACATTCAATAAAAAATTTTTCATTGATTCATTTGCAAAAATTTCTTAAAACAAGAAATAAACAGAAAAGTTACGTATCTAAATATGAGACAATCTACAGTGCATTAATCATTCTTGATTTGGGAGAGTATGTAAGTGTGACTGGCTGATTGAGGTATCCAGCTTGTTGGTGTGTAAACAAGCAAGAGCTGCCTTAAGGCCCAGTGTGGTGGCTCACGCCTGTAATTCCAGCACTTTGGGAGGCCACAGCAGGTGGATCACCTGAGGTCAGAAGTTCGAGACCAGCCTAACCAACATGGTGAAACCCCATCTCTACTAAAAATACAAAATTACCATGGTAGCAGGCGCCTGTAATCTCAGCTACTTGGGAGGCGAAGGCAGGAGAATTGCTTGAACTTGGGAGGTGGAGGTTGCAGTGAGCCAAGATCATGCCATTGCACTCCAGCCTGGGTGACAAGACCAAAGCTCCATCTCAAAAAATAAAAAAGAGCTGGCTTAGTTTATTCCAGGACCTGCCCCCAACTGATACGTTGTCCCTCCCACCCTTACTGGGTGACAGATGTCTTCATAACTTCTAATTTAGATCTCATAACTTTTCATCCCCTCTTAGTTATGAGAATTCTGTCATGCCAATGTTTAAGATTTTGTTCAGTCCATTTAAGCTTCATTCTCACATATGATACAAACTTCTCCTTACTTGACTATGGGATTGTCCTTTCGATGCGCTTGCTGCTGCCCTGGCTAACCCTGCATGGTCATCAGTACCAGACTGTCATGGTTCCCTCTGTGTGGCATGAATTTAAATGCTGGCCACTTGGTGGAGTGATGGTCTGTTTTCACTCACGACACTTCTGACACCAGATGTGTGGATTTTCTCCCCCCAACAGCTGACCAATTTTCCAGCTTTCTGGACACCAGTTGGGTGCCCTGCAATTCAATTCTTACACTAACCTGTCTCTCCTTATCTACAATAGATTGACTTATTTAACCCAAATATACATATAAAGTCGTTTTAGAATTGCTAAGCCATGCCTCTGTGAGATACAAATTTACCAACCAGAGTGCAGTTTTTGTATACAGTTCTTTGTGTCCTTATCTACAGTTATAAGTCAAAACATTGTTTTCCAACTTTGTCAGTTCTTTTTTCCCCATCCCTTTCAGTGAGTTGATATCATACATTTATAATACAATTAGATTCATTTGCCACAATTTGCATACCATCCTGGGTTCCCTTGACAGTCTGTTCATTTTTAAAAAATTTGCATACAATAAAAGCCCCTTTGTCTAGTGTACAGTTTTTTTTTTTTTTTTTTTTTTTTGAGACAGAGTCTTTCTCTGTTGCCCAGGCTGGAATGCAGTCCGCCTTCCTGGTTCAAGTGATTCTCCTGCCTCAGCCTCCTAGTAGCTGGGACTACAGGCGCACACCACCATGCCAAGCTAATTTTTGTAGTTTTACAAATATGAGAGACAGGGTTTACAAATTACAAATTAGAGACAGGTTTACAAATGTTAGAGACAGTAGAGACAGGGTTTCACCATGTTGTCCAGGACAGTCTTGATCTCCTGACCTTGTGTTCCCCTGCCTCGGCCCCGCAAAGTGCTGGGATTACGGGTGTGAGCCACCGCGCCTGGCCATGTGTATAGTTCTTGTGTTTGCAAATGGATATTGTCATGTATCCACCACACAGTACCATACAGAACAGCTCCATCAGCCTATTCCCTTTGCAGCCCCTTTGTAGCAAACTTCCCTCCTTTTCTCAAACCTGACAACAACTGATCTGTTCTTCATCCCTATAGTTTTGCCTTTTCCAGAATGTCATATAAATAGAATCGCCCAACATGTAGACTTTTAGGCCTAGCTTCTTTCACTTAGCAAAATGGATTTAAGATATGTCTATATTATTGTGTGAACCAAGAGTTCATTTTTTACTGTTGAGTATGGATAAACTCAAGGAATGGATATCAACAGCTTATCCAATCACCTGTTGAAGGATATCTGGGTTATTTCTAGTTTTTGGTAATTATGAATGAAGCTGCTATAAACAGTCATGTGCGAGTTTTTGTGTGAACATAAGTTTTCAGTTCACTTGCGTCAATTTCTAGTAGTGAAATGGCTGGGCCATATGATAAGTTATGCTTATAAGAAACTGCTGAAAAGTTTTTCAAAGCTGCCCTGACGCTTTGCAATCCCATCAGCCACCAGTGAGAGTTCCTGTTCTTCTTCATCCTTACCTACATTTGGTTGCCCACACTTCTTTTTTGTTTGTTTTTTTTTTTGAGAGGGAGTCTCGCTCTGTCACCAGGCTGGAGTACAGTGGCACAATCTCGGCTTGCTGCAACCTCCACCTCCCGGGTTCAAGCGATTCTCCTGCTTCAGCCTCCTGAGTAGCTGGGATTACAGGGGCACACCACCACGCCTGGCTAATTTTTGTATTTTTAGTAAAGATGGGTCATGTTGGCCAGGCTGGTCTAGAACTCCTGGCACCAAGTGATCTGCCCTCCTCGGCCTACCAAAATGCTGGGATTACAGGCATGAGCCACTGCACCTGGCCTGCCTACACTCTTTAAAATGGAAATTGCCCACCCCACTCCACTCCAACTTCTTCCTTCCTTTTGACCTCTGACTGGATTATACAATAATCTATACTCTTGCTTTGCAGCCTGTTGGTATTAATGAAGGTAATAATCTTAGACTACTGTGCACTACTTTCCTGCTTTCTTCACAGTTCTAGGAAGCAGTTTCAGCAAACATTCTTAGGCTGGTACAGGAGATAACCACACTCTGCTTGAGAAGAATTCCCTTCTGGAATTCCCAAACCTCTGCTTTTGTGTGGCCTCTTAGTTCACTGCTCATCTCAGCCTCTTTTTAATCTAACCAGTGAATCCACTGAAGCACTAAGGTGATCACGGGTCTGCACTAGACTCTGCAGTAGTCAATCCTATGGGATAGACTACTCAATGTGGCTTTATGGCTGGGTACCTGGGTCTTCATTCATCAGGAAGGAGCTGAGTGCCAGGCCCCTGCTCAGAGTCCCTGCCTCCTAACTTGGCAGTTAGCACATTTTCATAGTCACTGGAGTCCTCATTTGACATCTCTTCTCTATGTTTCATCTGACTGTCCTCACTCTGTGTGAATGGCTGAAAGTCTGCATAATCCCCTGAAGCAAGGAATGTCCTTTTGACACATTGGACATGGGTCCCGGGATCATCTGTCTTGTCCTCGACATGACCTATGTTTGAGGATGGCACATCTTTCTCAGCCTGCTGCTGGCTTCCACTGGGATCTGCTGCTGGAACATTTTCATAGTCTCTGCAGCACTGAAAAGCCACCCAGAGCTGCCTTTCCTGGATGGCACTGAGATCCAACCCTGTCATGTTGACATAGTCATTTGAGATCTGAGAAGAACCTTCTCCATTGCTGAGTGAATCACTGTCCTCAGCTCCTGGAGAATACAAACTGGTGCAGTCACCAGCATCTCCACAGCCCTCATCTCTTTCCTCAGTAAACTCCAGCTTCTGGGTACTGGGAAGAACAAAGAGATTTCTGGAAGGGCTTTTGGTAGAAGCTAGAGTCTCAGCAATCTCTTCTGCTGTGGGGACATTGACATAATCATGCGAATCCTCTGAAGAAATGCTTGCGCAGTCTCTGGAAGCTCTGACATTGATGCAGTGTGCCGAGGGAGTGAGGTTCCCACACATCTGGGGGACCATGGCGTTGTCATAGATACCCACCGCGTACTCTGTGGCATGGATGTGGGCTGTATGCTCCTGGAAGGCATTGCCTGCTTGGGAGGGCTATGAAGAAGAAAAGGAAGCCAGTGGTCAGATGCAAGCAGAAATATGGACAAAGCCTTTCTTCTTGGAAAATACCACTGGCATATTCTGAAAAAAAAAAAAAAAAAAAAAAAAAAAAGAAGAGCAACAGTGCAAATGTGATGATAAATCACAACTAGTTTTTGGCCACAGTATGGGAATCAATTGGTGGGGGGGTGCGGGTGGGACGAAAATATTATCAACTGAAGAGCCCACTGAGAGGCAGTACAACATAGTGGCTAAAGGTGAGGCTTAGACTAAAGGTACAAATCCTAGCCTCACCACTTTGTGCCAAGTGAGTATGAGCACCTGACCTAATCTCTCGGTGTCTTCATTTCCTAATTTATAAAATGAAGATTATCATAATATTTACATCATAAGTTTGTTTTTATTTTTGTTTTTGAGAAGGAGTTTCGCTCTCGTCGCCCAAGCTGGAGTGCAGTAGAGCAATCTCAGCTCACTGCAATCTCTGCCTCCCGTGTTCAATCGATTCTCCCGCCTCAACCTCCTGAGTAGCTGGGATTACAGGTGCCTCCTACCACTGCCCGACTAATATTTTGTATTTTTAGTAGTGACAGTGTATGTTCTGTTACCGGGCAGCAGACACACAAACCTGTTGGTCCTATAACAACCTCATTTGATCAAACACTTTCTATATCAGCTACAGTGCTGAATGACTTAACAGATATTTCTGCTCCTGAGGGTAATTGAAATAATTGACATAAGCCCTGCAAGTAATATCCAAAGCAGGTTTTTAAGTGTGTTTTGAGCACCAATGGCATTGTTGGAATATTTGCATACCCTCCTGAGGTGATCACTTTGAAAGGAGCAACATTCATTTGAATAAACATGTTGTCATGTCTTTGTTAAAACAATCAATTGGCAGGGTATGGTGGCTCACACCTGTAATCTCAGCACTTTGGGAGGCCAAGGCGGGCAGATTGCTTGAGCTCAGGTGTTTGAGACCAGCCTGGGCAATATGGTGAAACCCCATCTCTACACAAAATATGAAAGTTAGCCAGGCGTGGTGGTGTGTGCCTGTGGTCCCAGCTACTTGGGGGGATGAGGTGGGAGGATTGCTTGAGCCCAGGAAGCAGAGGTTGGAGTGAGCAAAAAAAGAAAAAAAAAAAATGCTGGGCACGGTGGCTCATGCCTGTAATCTCAGCACTTTGGGAGGCCAAGGCGGGTGGATGAAAAGGTCAAGAGATTGAGACCATCCTGGCCAACATGGTGAAACCCCGTCTCTACTAAAAATACAAAAATTAGCTGGGCGTGGTGGCGCATGCCTGTAATCCCAGCTACTTGGGAGGCTGAGGCAGGTGAACTGCTTGAACCTGGGAAGCAGAAGTTGCAGTGAGCCGAGATCGCACCACTGCACTCCAGCCTGGGTGACAGAACAAGACTCCATCTCAAAAAAGAAAAAAGAAAAAAAAATATACCAATCAATTTTAGTTCTGACATTATGCACTTGAATATCTGTACCCTGGTGCCCTTTTTATAACTCCAAGCACTTGCCTCTGTCCTTAATTTTTCTTTTTGGGTATAGGAGATCCTGAGGCTAGTCTTCCCAATTTATTAATAGGACTGCAGGGCGAGTGCCAAAGGGCATGCTGTTTGTTTGCAGTGAAACCAGATCTAAGCCCTATAACTCTTTCCCCGCAGTTCTTCTGCCAGAGACATGTCATTCTCCCAAGAAGCTTGACTCTTACCACATGCTCCGGGCTCTCAGAATTTCTGGAGAGGAGGCTCTCAGTACTGAAAATGCGCATACTCCTCGACTCATGTCTCCCTGAAAGGACAGAGAACAAATCCTGAAGATAGCCAGTCCTCTGAGTGCTTCAGTCCAAATAATCCCTGCATCATGGATGAAGCGGGTTTGCGTGGTGTCTGGAATTTCCAGCCTTGGGTCTGGTGTTCTCTCATGTTCTGAGGTCAGAGTTATGGGGATGACACTCTGAGAACCGGAAGCCCCTCAGCTTCTGTGGCACTGGAGGATGCTATCACAGGGGTTGGGAGGCTGAGAAACAAGCTCCTGTGTGAGAACCTCCTCCCTGCCCCATCCTCTGCCTGTGATGCTGGCACCGAGTTCTCTTCCTTGGTGTCTTCCCTATGCCTGGACACACTTGGCTTTCTTCTGTTGCCTTAACATTAAGAAAAAACAAAACTCCCAGCCCAGATGACCCTCTGCTCCCTTTTTGGAGCCCTCCAGACCCCCCTGGAGTTGCAGCTGACAGTCTATCTATCCCATTCTCCCTGATACTCTCTGAAGGGCAAACAGGTTTGAGAACTTAAAGAAAATTGCTTCTGGAGGGTGAGAGGCACATTCTGGGAGTAGAAGTTCGAATATCTGGACTCCATAGATTAGAAGGAAAAACCTACCCAGGTCTTCCTGTCGCCAAGGCAAGATGTCATAAATATTTTTGGCTCTTTGTCTGGTTTGTGGCAAAGTCAGCAAGGGCATGACGGTAACTCGGAGGTAAGGAACTTGTCCTGCAAGGCAATGAGAGAGATGGGAGTCATGGCGGGGGTCAGCTGCACAGAGTGAAGAGACTCATGGGAATGAGATGGCCCCTGAAAATGCTCCCCATCCTTGCCAGTTCTCACAAAAATACCCTTTCAGACTCAAGCTACAGGAATTTTCATTTGAGTGAGAGGAACAGGGGACTTGATGGACAGAACGTAAAGAGGAAACTGGACACAGGGGCACCAGGGCAATGTCTTTCCCAGGGGAACTCCATCAGCACTGGGCTTTTGGAGCCACAGTTCAGGATCTTGAGTGAGGCAATGGCCAATGTATCGGGTAAGAACTGAGGACTCCCCAGGCCAATAGTTTATCCCTGGTAAATAAGCTGGGCTTTAAATTCCAGCCTAGATTAATAATCCTACTGTGTCTCAACTCAGGACAAACAAGGGACTCACGCTTCTTCCGTTTATTCCAATTCCACAAGATGCAGAAAACCGCAACGACCAGGAGGATGGCGAGGAGTCCCGCAAACCCGGAAAAGATGTTGGTGATCTGGTCTTTATTTCTAGAAAAACAATCGAATGACATGTGCTAGCTGTAGGAGGGTGGAGAGGCTGGAGGAGACATTTCCTTTTGGAGTTAGAGCCTGAAGATTTGGAATGGGAGCCGAGTGAAGGAAAGCCCAGGTGGGGTGTGGTGGAAGAGAGGGTTATCTCTGAATATTGACTTTATGGAGAGAGGGGACTTGGACAGGGGAGAAGGGAACTATTCCTTTCAAATGCCTACCGGGTGCCAGGGATTCACATGTGAAACTTATTAATCTCTTTCTTTCTTTCTTTCTTTCTTTCTTTCTTTCTTTCTTTCTTTCTTTCTTTCTTTCTTCCTTCCTTCCTTCCTTCCTTCCTTCCTTCCTTCCTTCCTTCCTTCCTTCCTTCCTTTCTCTCTCTCTCTCTCTCTCTTTCTTTCTTTCTTTCTTTTTGATGGAGTCTTTCTCTGTCGCCCAGGCTGGAGTGCAGTGGCACAATCTCAGCTCGCTGCAACCTCCGCCTCCTGGGTTCAAGCCATTCTCCTGCCTCAGCCTCCAGAGTAGCTGGGATTACAGGAGCGTGCCATGAGGCCCAGCTAATTTTTGTATTTTTAATAGAGGCGGGGTTTCACCACATTGGCCAGGATGGTCTCAATCTCTTGACCTTGTCATCTGCCCGCCTTGGCCTCCCAAAGTGCTGGAATTACAGGTGTGAGCCACCGTGCCCGGCCTGTGAAACTTATTTAATCTTTAACAATCCTATCACACTTTGTGGCCAAGTAACCTGAGCTTTAGACTCAGAAAGGTAAAGTAACATGTCAGAGATCACCTAGGTAGGAAGGAGCAGAGAAGGAATATGAATCTAGGTCTGTTTGCGTCCAAAGACCATGCTCTTTCCACTCTGCCACACTGTCCTCCAAACCTGCAAAGTCAAAGTCATTTGGCCTTGCCCCTTCTTGTTCCCTACTCGTGGGCTTCCTGGCTTGCTTGGAGGAGAGGATTAGCCAACGTACAGTTAAGGAGTGGCTCTGTGACAGAGTCCAGCTTGCATGAACTTGAATAACACCCCCCACCCCCCGCCGCCCCCCCCCCCGCACCAATTTGTGGAGCTGGTCTCCAAGCAACACACTGCTGTTGTGTGAAGTTTAACCAATTCATGTTCTGTGCTACCTTGCAATTCCCTGGCAGGGCTGGCGTCACTGCTCGGTTTTGCTTGGGTGTTGAAATGCATCCAGATGATTACAACCCCAGATGGCTATGCCTAATGCAACAGGAAGCTGCCAACTGAAGTTACAGCGGGAATCAGGAACTGACGTGCTACCCCCAATTATTAGAAACCAGGGCATTTAACAGGGAAGGTTTTTGTCCCCTTGAGTTTTAGGCTTATTTATACAACTTTCTTTCTTTTCTTTTCTTTCTTTCCTTCTTTCTTTCTTTCTTTCTTTCTTTCTTTCTTTCTTTCTTTCTTTTTTTTTGAGACAGAGTCTCGCTGTGTCGCTCAGGCTGGAGTGCAGTGGCATGATCTTGGCTCACTGCAACCTCTGCCTCCCAGGTTCAAGCGATTCTCCTGCCTCAGTCTCCTGAGTAGCCGGGACTATAGACACACGCCACCACGCCCGGCTAATTTTTTTTGTATTTTTATTAGAGATGGGATTTCACCATGTTGGCCAGGCTGGTCTTGAACTCCTGGCATCAAATGATCCGCCTGCCTCAGTCTCCCAAAGTGCTGGGATTACAGGTGTGAGCCACCGCGCCCAGCCCATCCAAGTTTCTAGTGAGCATTTCTAACTAGTTGCCTAACAGACAGCTCAAACCAAAACAGAGCTCCTGTTCTCCCCACATAAACCTGCTACTCCCCAGGTGTTTCCCATAATCTAATGGCTTAGTCAAAAATCTTGGAGCCATTCTTGGAGCTCTTTTTCTTTCATGCCCCACTTCCAGTCAACCAGCAGATTCTGGCTGCATTACCCTGGGCATTTATCCCAAACCCAACCACCTCTTGCTCCTCTGTTGCCACCACTCGGGTCTAAGCTGCTGTGCATTTCACAGGAACCTTTGCAATAACTTTCCTGGATGGTCTCCTTGCTTTAACTCTTGGCCTCAACATTCGTTGTCTTCACACAAAAACCAGTGTGATAATTCTAAATGGTAAATCAGATCACATCCCTCCTCTACTCATCACTCTCCCCGGCTTCGAGTGACTTAGAATAAAGTCTATAGTCCTTCCTCAGAGAGGACTTGACGGCACGATATGATCTGGCCTCTGCTTACCTCTGACCTTATTTCCTACCACTTTCCCTCTGACTTTGACTGCCAGGATCCCTTGCCCATGCAGAGCACAGTTCTGTGTCAGACCTGCCACTCCCTCTCCCAGGAATCCTCCTCTCCCAGCTGTCTGCATGGCTGAGTCCCTCTCATTCAGGTCTCTTCTGAAACGTCAAATGTCATCTCCTCAGACACGTCTTCCATGGCCACACCCTATTACTTGCAGTCCCCTTGCTGTGCTCCACTTTTTCTTCATAGCACTGATGACTGATTGATATATCTTTTTTTTTGAGATGGAGTTTCGCTTTTGTTTCCCAGGCTGGAGCGCAATGGCATGATCTTGGCTCACCACAACCTCCCCCTCCTGGGTCCAAGTGATTCTTCTGCCTCAGCCTCCCGAGTAGCTGGGACTACAGGTACGCACCACCACGCCTGGCTAATTTTTGTATTTTTAGTAGAGATGGGGTTTCATCATATTCGTCAGGCTGGTCTCGAACTCCTGACTTTGGGTGATCTGCCCACCTTGGCCTCCCAAAGTGCTGGGATTACAGGCGTGAGCCACCTCACCCAGCCCGATTGATTGATATTATACATTCATATGCTTATCTGTTTATCATTTTTTTATTTAAAAAAAAAAAATTTTGAGACAGGGTCTCCATGTGTTGCTCAGGCTGGTTTTGAACTCCTGGGCTCAATTGATCCTCCTGCCTTGGTCTACCAAAGGCTTGGATTATAGGCATGAGCCACCACGCTCAGCTCTGTTCATTATTTGACTCTCCCACTTGTCTATAATCTTCAGGAGGTTATGGACTTGTTTATCCTGTTCACCTAGTGCCTTAAACAGTGCTTGGTACTTAGTAGGGCCCTGATAAATATTTGTTAAATGAATGAATTAATAAACAAATGAATTAATATAGAAATAGTTTTAAGTGTAGTACAGCCATTATGGAAAACACTATGGAGGTTCTTCAAAAATTAAAAATAGAACTACCAAGGCGGGGCATGGTGGCTCATGTCTGTAATCCCAGCACTTTGGGAGGCGGAGGTGGGCGGATCACCTGAGGTAAGGAGTTCGAGACCAGCCTGACCAACATGGAGAAACCCCCAACTCTACTAAAAATACAAAATTAGCCAGGCATGGTGGCTCATGCCTGTAATCCCATTTACTGGGGAGGCTGAGGCAGGAGAATCGCTTGAACCTGGGAGGTGGAGGTTGCAGTGACCCTAGATTGCAACCTTGCACTCCAGCCTGGGCAACAAGAGTGAAACTTTGTCTCAAAAAAAAAAAAAAAAAAAAAGAAGTGGAGAGTAGAATGGTGGTTACCAGGGAGGGGTTGCAGAGATGTTGGTCAAAGGGTACAAAATATCAGTTAGAGAGAAAGAAAAATTCAAGGGATCTGTTGTATAACATGATGCCTATAGTTAATAAAAATGTGTTGATGGTCCAGACCCGGTGGCTCATGCCTGTAATCCCAGCACTTTGGGAGACAGAGGTGGGCGGATCACCTAAGGTAGGGAGTTCGAGACCAGCCTGACCAACATGAAGAAACCCCATCTCTACTAAAAATACAAAAAAAAGTTAGCCGCGGGTGGTGGCACATGCCTGCAATCCCAGCTACTCAGGAGGCTGAAGCAGGAGAATAGCTTGAACCTGGGAGGTGGAGGCTGCAGTGAGCCGAGATCACGCCACTGCACTCCAGCCTGGGCGACAGAGCGAGACTCTGTCTAAAAAAATAAAAATAAAAAAAACAAACAAAACAAAACAAAAAAAGTGTTGATGACTATAGTTAATAAAAATGTGTCATATTCTTGAAAATTGCTGAGAAATTTTAAGTATTCTCACCACAAAAGAAAATTGTGAAGTAATGTGTATCTTAATTAGTTTAATGTAGCTATTGTACAATGTATACATATTTCAAAACAACAGGCTATCATGATAAATATATATAATTTTGATTTGCCAATTAGAAATAAATAAAAATAAATGAAGAAATAGTTTTGGAGAGATGCTTCAGGCTTCTGATTCATTGCTCATTGATGCTCATATCTACCAGCAAGTGACATGTGTTTGCCATGATAATAACATTTATTTCCCCAAACGACTGCAATTTTATTTTATTTTTTGAGACAGAGTTTCGCTTTTGTTGCCCAGGCTGGAGTACAATGACATGACACTGCAACCTCTGTTTCCCGGGTTCAAGTGATTCTCCTGCCTCAGCCTCCTGAGTAGCTGGGACTACAGGAGCATGCTACCACTCCCGGCTAATTTTTGTATTTTTAGTAGAAACGGGGTTTCACCATGTTGGCCAGGCTGGTCTTGGCCAGGCTGGTTCAAGAGTGGGGGTGATCCGCCCCACTCGGCCTCCCAAAGTGCTGGGGTTACAGGTGTGAGCCACCGCGCCCAGTCAGCTGCCAATGTTTTTAAAGTTTCAACTGTGGATGGATTTTTAATTTTGTTTGTATGAGATTGAAAGTAGTAGCAGTAATTCATACCCATGATTAGTTCTGTAAGATTTTACGTCCTAAGGACGTATCTTTATTACATCTATCACTACATTTTTTATTCATGACAAGTTTTTGGATCTCAAAACACATCCTTGGAAAACTCAGCCTTTTGTTTCTGTCATGGTGACACCTAGGAAAGACTGATGATAGGGTTCAGGGCCTCCGAGAGGTGAGAAATCCAACCAGTCTAAGCAACTAGCTTTAAGGGCCAGTGTTATCACAGTTTTTCCTCTACCACAATATTTTCTTTCTTTCCTCAATACCTTCCTTTCCCCCTAGCACCCCTGAGCAAATGCCTCCAAGCCTAGAGTTTGGTGGTTTAGTAGACCGAGCCTGGGTGTTGAGAGGTGGCAGCACTGCTGTGTAAGAAGCTCCTAAGGGTGGACTAGGACCTTCTGCCTAAATCAGGGCAGGGTGGAGCTCACCACCCTGAGTCACTCACCTGTCCAGGCTGCGGGGAGTCACATGCAGAGTGCTGGACTCCAAGGTCCTCCCTCTGATTGTCGAAAGGGTTGGAGTGACACCATCCATTGTATCAGGAACCTTTGAGATGCTCTCTGGCTTCAGCTTCTAAGTTTCTCTTAATCATAATCAGTTAGCCAGCATGTCTACCACTTCTCCCCACCCCCGCAACAAACTCCCTATCTCGTGTCTACCTCTGAAACGTCAGGCCAAGTTGACCCAACATACAAAAGCAACAGGTTTGGTTCTACCTGGACGTGGCTAATGCCCACTGCAGGAAGTGCGATCTCATCCGGACATGGTGCTTCCAAGTGAGGTGGCTCAGGGAGAATCTGTGGCCTCTGCCTTCACGTTTCTGGTGGAAACGTGAGGGGCACAGAGGGGGAAACTGCCAAGAGGCTCAAGAGAGGCTCCGTGAGAAGCTCGTCTTCCTTCAACACCCAAAGCAGAGTGAAAAGAGCAAACCACTTTGCCAGAATGGAAACAGAGAGTCAGTCACCGGAAACGACACCACCAATGTGCTAATGAAGCACAGGGCACAGGAAACTCTGCTCAGCTCTTAATCTGCTAGAAGAAAACATATCTTCAACCCACCGTTCCTGGGTTTGCCAGGTGCTCTGTGGTCTGTGATGAGTGTGATTAAAAATGGGGCAGGGTAGTAGAGAACTTGTGATTCTTCACCCTGAGTTTCTGAGACACTTAGAGTTGTATAAGTCTTCAGATTTACAGTATTTTCTAAGCAAGTCTAAGGAGCACTGGAGGTTGCCTTTTAGAGTGAAATGCAGATCTCCGGGACCCTCTTCTGATTCAGTGGGTGGAGGCTGCAGAGGGGGCAGGCTTTGGCTATCGATGCTTTCCAGGTGAATTTGATGGAGCTTTCAGGTGATTTTGATGGAGCTCATCTGTGTTTCATGTTTTGGGAACCTCTGCTCTGGGTACTACCTTAAGAATAGAAGTTATGCTGGGTTAGCAGGACCCCTGCTCCCCCAAGGCAACCTTCCACAGCTCCTGGCTGCTGGTGATCTCCTGTTCTCAGGGCTCTTCTGAAGATCAGTCACAGTCTTACTTGTCACACACCTGTCTCAGAAGCTGAACAAGTTCATCCTTAAGAGCTACCCAAAGTGTTTGAAGATTGTTCAAAATTTATTGCTAACTCCCCTCCCTTCTTGAGCCTACTAATCTCCGGAAACACTCTTTGCATCTTGGGAGAGTCCAAAGAGAAGGGGCCACTAAGACTGTTGTAAGGATGTGAAGAACCTCTCTGATTGCACTTTCCACAAGGAAATGGATTCCCAGATGAATGGAAGGGCAGACCAGCAGTACCCTCCTAGAACCATGCCTCCCTCCCATCTCTTCCCAGTGGACATTGAGGTCCTCAGCTTTCCTGAGGTGGCAGCCCCTGGCCTGTCTGCATCCAGACTCTCACAGAGTCCCCAGGGGCTGCAGACTGGCCATGGCTGGCTTTCCAGGGAGCTTTATCATTCCAGGTCCTGGGCCCCTTCCCTCCCAGGAGCTTCACCTGGTAGGAAGCAGAAATGGCTCAGAGGCAGCTGGTGCTGGAGCTGGAACCTGGGTCTCTGCCCACTTCTCCTTTGGATCAGGTCTGAGTAGGAACTAGGACTACTCACAAGATCCATCATGCTGGTGGCAAGGACTGGGGTCCTGGGCCATTGGAACCAATAAGGGACTGTGAGAATCAGGACCTCGGAAGGCAGTACACGGAAAGGGCACATGGAACCAAACCTCAGAACCATGACTGCTAATTAAAAAAAAAAAATTTTTTTTTTTTTTAAAGAACTTTTCCATTGCATGTGATCATTTCAGGGCCTCACTTATCTTATCTACCCAATCTGCTGCAGTTAGACCAATCTTCCCTCTGGTTGTCCAATTCTCTCCTGCCCCCACATCTCAGGGAAATCACCACCTCAGAGGCAGCTGCCCAAGTTACCTGCCTCAGACTGCAGGTGAGTGCCAGGATTCCAGGCCTTGGCTGTGCCCCTCATCCTGCTCTCCTTTCCTTCCCCATGGGGCAAAATCCAATCAAACTGACAAACTAAAACAAAAAGTAGGTAGCTGAAATGATTCATCATAATAGCGGGGAAAAAACAACAGCAACAACAAAAAACACTCGTTCCTGGGAAATGGGGTGTATTTTGTTGTTGTTGTTGTTTTTTTGAGATAGAGTTTTGCTCTTGTTGCCCAGGCTGGAGTGCAATGGCATGATCTTGGCTCACCGAAACCTCCGCCTCCCGGGTTCAAGCAATTCTCCTGTCTCAGCCTCCCGAGTAGCTGGCATTACAGGCATGCACCGCCACACCCAGCTAATTTTGTATTTTTAGTAGAGACGGGGTTTCTCCATGTTGGTCAGGCTGGTCTCCAACTACTGACCTCAGGTGATCCGCCCGCCTTGGCCTCCCAAAGTGCTGGGATTACAGCATGAGCCACCGCACCTGGCCAAGGAGTGTATGTTTTAAATCCGATTGCTCTCGTGTTGTTGATGTTGTTTTTTTCTGAGACAGGGTTTCACTCCTGTTGCCCAGGCTGAAGTGCAGTGGCATGCTCTTGCTCACTACAACCTATGCCTCCCAGGCTCAAGCCATTCTCCTGCCTCAGTCTCCCAAGTAGCTGGGACTACAGGTACACGCCACCACACATGGCTAATTTTTGTATTTTTAGTAGAAATGAGGTTTCAGCATGTTAGCCAGGCTGGTCCAAACTCCTGGGCTCAAGTGATCTGCCCACCCTGGCCTCCCAAAATTCTGCGATTATAGGTGTGAGCCACTGCACCCAGCCTGCTCTAGTGTTTTAACCACTTTTCATGATTTTTTGGGGTCGGATGTTACATATGATTGTTACCAGACCCCAACACTTACCCAGAGTTAGCCTTTGGGTTGGGGGTTTCTGCACTATAGTCCCTTCAGTGGTTGCCAGAAAGGTGTTACAGGGAAGGGGTCCTGATGCAGACCCCAAGAGAGGGTTCTTGGATCTTGCCCAAGGAAGTATTCAGGGCGAGTCCATAGAGTAAAGTGAAAGCAACTTTATTAGGAAAGTAAAGGAATAAAAGAATGGCTGCTTCACGGACAGAGCAGCCTCAAGGGCTACTGGTTGCCCATTTTTATGGTTATTTCTTGATGATATGCTAAACACGGGCTGGATTATTCATGCCTCCCCTTTTTAGACCATATAGACTAACTTCCTGTTGTTCCATGGCATTTGTAAACGGTCATGGTGCTGATGGGAGTGTGGCAGTGAGGATGACCAGAGGACATTCTCATGGCCATGTTGGTTTTGGTGGGTGTTAGCCGGCTTCTTTACTACAGCCTGTTTTATCAGCAAGGTCTTTATGTCCTATATCTTGTGCCAACCTCCTATCTCATTCTGTGACTTAGAATGCCTTAACTGTCTGGGAATGCAGCCCAATAGGTCTCAGCCTCATTTTACCCAGCCCCTATTCGAGATGGAGTTGCTCTGGTTCATACGCCTCTGACAGGATTCTAAAGTATTAAGACTGTTTTTTGGCCAGGTGCAGTGGCTCACGCCTGTAATCCCGGCAAGTTGGAAGGCCGAGGTGGCTGAATCACTTGAGGTCAGAAGTTTGAGACCAGCCTGACTAACATGGAGAAACTCCATCTCTACTAAAAATACAAAAAATTAGCCAGGCGTGGTTGTGCCTGACTGTAATCCCAGCTATTCAGGAGGCTGAAGCAGAATTGCTTGAACCCGGGAGGCAGAGGTTGCAGTGAGCCGAGGTCGCACCATTGCACTCTAGCCTGAGCAACGAGCAAAACTCCCCTCAAAAACAAACAAACAAACAAACAAACATTTATTTATTTATTTATTTTTGAGAAGGTGTCTCGCTCTTTCGCCCAGGCTGGAGTGCAGTGGCATGATCTCAGCTCACTGTAACCTCTGCCTCCTGGGTTCAAGCGATTCTTCTGCCTCAGCCTCCCGAGTAGCTGGGACTACAGGTGTGCGCCACCATGCTCGGCTAATTTTTGTATTTTTTTTTTTTTTTAGAAAAGACGGGGTTTTACCATATTGGCCAGGCTGGTCTCCAACTCCTGACCTTGTGATCCACCTGCTTTGGCCTCCCAAAGTGTTGGGATTACAGGTGTGAGCTACCAGGTCCAGCCTATTTATTTATTTTTTGAGATGGAGTCTTGCTCGTCGCTCAGGCTTGAGTGCAATGGCATGATCTCGGCTCACTGCAACCTCTGCCTCCCGGGTTCAAGTGATTATCCTGCCTCAGCCTCCTGAGTAGCTAGGATTACAAGCGCTCGCCACCACGCCCAGCTAATTTATGTGTTTTTAGTAGAGATGGGGTTTTGCCATGTTGGCCAGGCTGGTCTCGAACCCCTGACCTTGTGATCTGCCTGCCTCAGCCTCCCAACTTGCTGGGATTACAGGCATGAGCCACCACACCTGGCCTAGACTGTTATTTTTGTGTTTTTTTGTTTTTTTTTTTTTTGAGACGGAGTCTTGCTCTGTCACTCAGGCTGGAATGCAATGGCACGATCTTGACTCACTGCAACCTCCGCCTCCCAGATTCAAGTGATTCTCCTGCCTCAGCCTCCCGAGTAGCTGGGATTACAGTCATGCGCCACCACACCCGCTAATTTTGTATGTTTAGTAGAGATGGAGTTTCACCATGTTTGCCAGGCTGGTCTCAAACTCCCAACCTCAGGTGATCCGCCTGCCTCAGCCTCCCAAAGTGCTGGGATTACAGGTGTGAGCCACCGCCCCTGGCCCTAAACTGGTTTTATTTATTTATTTATTTGAGGCAGAGTCTCATTGTGTCGCCCAGGCTGGAATGCAGTGGCATGATCTAGGCTCACTGCAAACTCCACTTTCTGGATTCAAGTGATTCTCCTTCTTCAGTCTCCTAAGTAGCTGGGATTACAGGCACATGCCACCATGCCTGGCTGATTTTTGTATTTTTTGTAGAGACGGGGTTTTGCCTTGTTGGCCAGGCTAGTCTTCAACTCCTGAGCTCAAGTGGTCCAGCTGCCTAGGCTTCCCAAAGTGCTGGGATTACAGGTATGAGCCACAGCACTTGGCTTAAGATTGGTTTTAAATAGAAATAATTTATGTATCTAAGTCCACAAAGTCCCTTGGTGGGGATGGGGGAACTATGTGTTATTTTCATGATGTTGCTAACACCAGAAACTTTCCAGAAGTTCTCTTTGTGAAGGCAGAAAGCACATGTTCAAAACATCAACCTGAGTTCAAGTTCTAAATTACTACCTGGCTGACCTTAGCAGTTCATCTAATCTTTTTGGGTGTTTCCTTGGCTGTAAAATGACAATAATACTACTACTTATGTAATGTTGTGAGAATTAATTGGGCCAACAATGAAAAATGCTTGGTTTAGGACTAGGCGTATTTAAGAGCTCATTAAATGGGGCTGCTATTATGCTATTATGACACTAACTCATTTCTTTATTCTTAATGGCCCCCTTTAGCCTTTCTCTTTTCTTGATGCTTACTTGCCTGCCTCCCAGGTATTACTTTATGCTTTAAATACATATTGATGGGACATCTCCCACGGCATTGCACTAGGCATTGGATTTGTACCTAAAACAGACAGTCCTTACTGCAAAGTGGCCAGTCAGGCGTGCTGCCGTCTTGCAGCTGCACACTGCATTCCAAGCAGACCCAGTTCATTGTCACTTTTGTATTCTGGGCCTTTATGCGAGTTCCTTCTGTTTTATTTCTTCTTTCTTTCTTTCTTTTCTTTCTTTATTTCTCTCTCTCTTTTTTTTTTTCCAGAGTCTCACTGTGTCACCCAGGCTGGAGTGCAGTGGAGCAGTCACCTGAGCCTCCTGAATACCTAGGACTACAGGCGTGCACCATCATGCTTGGCTAATTTTTGTATTTTTTTGCAGAGACAAGGTTTCGTCATGTTGCCCAGGCTAGTCTCGAACTCCTGGGCTCAAGCAATCCACCCACTTTGTTATTGGAAAGGAGCCCTGATTCAGACCCCAAGAGAGGGTTCTTGGATCTCGCACAAGAAAGTATTCAGGACAGGCCTGGCACGGTGGCTCACGCCTATAATCCCAGCCCTTTGGGAGGCCGAGGTGGGCAGATCATTTGAGGTCAGGAGTTCCAGACCACCCTGGCCAACATGGTAAAACCTCATCTCTACCAAAAATACAAAGCTGGGTGTAATGGTGCGTGCCTGTAATTCCTGCTACTCGGGAGGCTGAGGCAGGAGAATCACTTGAACCAGGGAGATGGAGGCTGCAGTGAGCCAATATTGCACCACTGCACTCCAGCCTGGGCAACAAGAGCAAAACTCTGTTTCAAGAAAAAAAAAAAAAAAAAGAAAGAAAAAAAAGTATTCAGGGTGAGTCCATAGAGTAAAGTGAAAGTAAAGGAATAAACAATGGCTGCTCCATAGATGGAGCAGCCCTGAGGGCTACTGGTTGCCCATTTTTATAGTTATTTCTTGATTATATGCTAAACAAGGGGTGGATTATTCATGCCTCCCCTTTTAGACCTTACAGGATGACTTCCTGACATTGCCATGACATTGTTAAACTGTCATGGCACTGGTGGGAGTACAGCAGTGAGGATGACCAGAGGTTACTCTTGTCACCATCTTGGTTTTGGTGGGTTTTGGCCGGCTTCTTTACTGCAGCCTGTTTTATCAGCAAGATCTTTATGACGTGTATCTGGTGCTGACCTCCTATCTCATCCTGTGACTTAGAATGTCTTAACTGACTTGGAATGCAGCTCAATAGGTCTCAGCCTCATTTTACCCAGCCCCTATTCAAGATGAAGTTGCCCTGGTTCACATGCCTCTGATAGCTTCAGCCTCCCAAGTGCTGGGGTTACAGGCATGAGCCACCACACCCCACTGAGTTCCTTAATTTAATTTAGTTAATTTTTCTTTTTTTTGAGATGGAGTTTCTCTCTTGTTGCCCAGGCTGGAGTGCAATGGCGCTATCTCAGCTCACTGCAACTTCCGCCCAGGTTCAAGTGATTCTCCTGCCTCAGCCTCCCGAGTAGCTGGGATTACAGGCGTGTGCCACCATGCCTGGCTAATTTATGTATTTTTAGTAGAGACAGGGTTTCTCCATGTTGGTCAGGCTGATCTTAAACTCCTGACCACAGGTGTTCCACCTGCCTCGGCCTCCCAAAGTGCTGGGATTACAGGCGTGAGCCACCACGCCCGGCCCGTTAATTTATTTTGAGACAGAGTCTCACTCTGTCACACAGGCTGGAGTGCAGTGGCATGATCTCGGCTCACTGCAACCTCTGCCTCCAGGGTTAAAGCAATTCTCATGCCTGAGCCTCCCAAGTAGCTGGGATTGCAGGTGTGTGCCACCACACCTGGCTATTTTTTTGTCTATTTTAGTAGAGATGGGGTTTCACTATCTTGGCCAGGCTGGTCTCAAACTCCTGAATTCAAGTGATCTGCTCGCATTGGCCTTCCAAAGCGTTGAGATTACAGGTGTGAGCCACTGCGCTGGGCCTAAGTTCCTTCATTTTAACAGCAGCTTCTTTTTCTCATGTAAAATTCCAGTAAAGTCACACTTTAAAACTTTATACTGGCTCTTTCTCAGTTATGGGGCTGAGGTGTTTTGTTACTTTCTTCTTTGGACTCTTAACTGCTTGAACTTTTACAAAGATTGAGTGCTTTTTTGTTTTTTGAGACGGAGTTTCCCTCTGGCTGCCCAAGCTGAAGTGCAATGGCGCGATCTCCGCTCACCGCAACCTCTGCCTCCTGGGTTAAAGCGATTCTCCTCCCTCAGTCTCCCGTGTAGCTGGGATTACAGGCATGGGCCACCACGCCCGGCTAATTTTGTATTTTTAGTAGAGACAGGGTTTCTCCATGTTGGTCGGTCTGGTCTCGAACTCCCGACCTCAGGTGATCCGCCCACCTCCACCTCCCAAAGTGCTGGGATTACAGGCATGAGCCACCGCGCCCAGCTGAGTGTCATTTTTATAGAAAAAAACTATCTATTGCACCTGGGCAACATGGTAAGACCTCTGCTCTAAAAAAATTTTTTCTTATTTTTTGAGATGGAGTCTTGCTGTGACCCCCAGGCTGGAGTGCAGTGGCACAATCTCGGCTCACTGCAACTTCTGCCTCCCAGGTTCAAGTGATTCTCCTGCTTCAGCCTCCTGAGTAGCTAGGATTACAGGCGCACACCATCATGCCCAGCTAATTTTTTTTTGTATTTTTAGTAGAGATGGGGTTTCACTATGTTGGCCAGGCTGGTCTCGAACTCCTGACCTTGTGATCCGCCCACCTCGGCCTTCCAAAGTGCTGGGATTACAGGTGTGAGCCACCGTGCCTGGCCTAAAAATTTTTTTGTAAAATTTAGCCAGGCATGGTGGCAAACACCTGTAGTCTCAGCTACTGGGGAGGCTGAGGCAAGAGGTTTGTTCAAACCCAGGAATTTGAGGCTGTAGTGAGCTATGATTAGCTATGATTGCACCACTGCACTCCAGCCTGGGTGACAGAGCAAGACTCTGTCTCTGAAACAACAACAAAAATAAACCAAAATTATTATTTTAAAAAATGTGCCCCAAGTACCACCACCTCTGTGAGCCTTTCCCTTCTGAGACCTGGGTTTCCTCTTCTGTGCCCCCATCACACTGTGCATGCATCTTTGTGAGAGCATCTCTCAAGTCGCTGGAGTTATTTGTTTAAATGTTTGTCTCCCCAAGTAGACTTTGAGAACCTGAGGGCAGGGGCTATGTTTTATTTATTGCATATCTGGCATTTAGCACAGTGCCTGACCACAGGAGTTAATTGGGCCATCTGAAAAGGTCTCTTAGGTGCTCCTTGCTGCTGTGAATTTGGGACATAAATGTGTGACGGTGTCAGAGGTGTTCGAACCACAGTGACTGCATCTTGAATAGGGGAGGGGTAAAATAAGTCTGAGACCTACTGGGCTGCATTTTTAGGAGGTTAAGGCATTATTAGTCACAGGATGAGATAGGAGGTCGGCACAAGATACAGGTCACAAAGGCCTTGCTGATAAAACAGCATGTAGCCGGGCGCAGTGACTCACACATGTAATCCCAGCACTTTGGGAGGCTGAGGTGGGCAGATCATGAGGTCAGGAGATCGAGATCATCCTGGCTAACACAGTGAAAGCCTGTCTCTACTAAAAATACAAAAAAATTAGCTGGGCGTGATGGTGCATGCCTGTAGTCCCAGCTACTCGGGAGGCTGAGGCAGGAGAATCACTTGAACCCAGGAGGCAGAGGTTGCAGTGACCTGAGATCGTGCCACTGCACTCCAGCCTGGTGACAGAGCAAGACTACAAGACTCCGTCAAAAACAAAAACAAAAACAAAAACAAAACAACCAACCAAACAACAACAACAAAAAAAACACAAACCGCATGTGGTAAAAAAGCCCTAAACCAAGGTGGCAACTTCTGGTAATTCTCACTGTTTATTATACACTAATTATAATTCATAAGCATGCTAAAAGACTCTCCCACAAGTGCCGTGAGAGTTTACAAATGCCATGGCAACATCAGACCCTATATGGTTTAAAAAGGAGAGGAACCCTAAGTTCTGGGGATTGGCCACCCCTTTGCCAGAAAACTTATGAATAATCTACACCTTGTTTAGCACATAATCAAGAAATAATCATTAAAAAGTAGCCAACCAGCAGCCCTTGGAGGCTGCTCTGCCTATGGAGTAGCCATTCTTTATTCCTTTACTTTCTTAGTAAACTTGCTTTCACTTTATGGACTCACCCCAAATTATTTCTTGTGCAAGATCCAAGAACCCTCTTCTGGGGTCAGGATTGGGACCCCTTTCCAGTAACAATAGGATGGGCCATGGAGGAAAAAATCAGCAGCTAATGTTTTTTCCTGCTGTGCTCTCCTTAGCCAAAGAAAAAAGACTGTCCTCTCTATTCTCATAGGAAGGGTAACCTGCGCCCTGTGTTGGGTCTCCTTTGCCCTACCAAAGTGTTAACAGTAGCTTTTGCGGCCGGGCATGGTGGTTCACTCCTGTAATCCCAGCACTTTGGGAGGTCGAGGTGGGAGGATCACTTTGAGCCTGAGTTCAAGACCAGCCTGGGCAACAAAGCAAGACCCTGCCTCAAAAAACAAAAAAACCCAGTAGCTTTTGTATTTCTGTGCTTCCTTTTTTTTTTTTTTTGAGACGGAGTTTCGCTCTTGTTGCCCAAGCTGGAGTGCAATGGCACAATCTCAGCTCACTGCAACCTCCTCTTCCCAGGTTCAAGTGATTCTCCTGCCTCAGCCTCCCAAGTAACTGGGATTACAGGCATGCGCCACCATGCCCGGCTAATTTTTGCATTTTTAGTAGAGACGGGGGTTTTACGCTGTTAGACAGGATAGTCTTGATCTCCTGACCTCGTGACCCGCCTGCCTTGGCCTCCTAAAGTGCTGGGATTACAGGCATGAACCACCACACCCAGCATTTCTGTGCTTCCAAATGCCAAAATTGGGCCGGGCATGGTGGCTCATACCTGTAATCCCAGCACTGTGGGAGGCCGAGGCAGGTGGATCACAAGGTCAGGAGCTGGCGACTAGCCTGGCCAACATGGTGAAACTCTGTCTCCACTACAAATATAAAAATTAGCTGGGCATGGTGGTGTGTGCCTGTAGTCCCAGCTACTTGGGAGGCTGAGGCAGGAGAATTGCTTGAACCTGGGAGGCGGAGGTTGCAGTGAGCTGAGATCATGCCATTGCACTCCAGCCTGGGCAACAGAGCAAGACGCAGTCTTGAAAAAAAAAAAAATGCCAAAACTGTCCTGTGTGAAAGACAATCCTAATCAGACTTTGTTTTTGGTTTGAGGGCTGGGACAACTATGATACGAAGAAGACACAGGAAGCCTTAATGGTGGCAACCCCCACCCACCCTTCCTCATGTATTTGCATATATCCTGGAGGCCTCTCCAGTCCAGACAAGTCTGAAACAGAAAACAAAGGCAGCAAATGCCTCCTTTTGAAGTTAAAGTTGTGAGAGACCGGGGTTAGGAAAGAAAGATTTAGAAAAGTACAGAAACATTTCTCTGCTCCCTGTCCCCTCTCTACCCGAGACCCTTGAGAAGAGTGAGGAGTATGTATTTGCAAGCAAAGAGTGTGTGAGCAGACTAGAGGAAGTTTCTGTTCCCCCGCTTAGGCCAAACCCTAATGGAAGAGGTGGGTTGGTACTGCTGATGGGTAAGAGAACCCTTTTCTTTTTTTTTTGAGATGGAGTCTCACTTTGTTGCCCATGCTGGAGTGCAATGATGCGATCTCAGCTCACTGCAACCTCCACCTCCCAGATTCTAGTGATTCTCTTGCCTCAGCCTCCCAAGGAGATGGGATTACAGGCATGTGCCAGGCTGGTCTTGAAGTCCTGACCTCAGGTGATCCACCCGCTTCAGCCTCCTAAAGTGCTAAGATTACAGACATGAGCCACCGCGCCCGGCCTGAGAACCGTTTCTTTCTTTCTTTTCTTCTGTTTCTTTCTTTCTCTTTCTTTCTTTCTTTCTTTCTTTCTTTCTTTCTTTCTTTCTTTCTTTCTTTCTTTCTTTCTTTCTTCCTTCCTTCCTTCCTTCCTTCCTTCCTTCCTTTCTCTCTTTCTTCTTTCCTTTCTCTCTTTCTTTCTCTTTCTTTTCTTTTCTTTCCTTCCTTCCTTCCTTCCGTCCTTCCTTCCTTCCTTCCTTCCTTCCTTCCTTCCTTCCTTCCTTCCTTCCTTCCTTCTTTCTTTTCTTTTTTTCTCTTTTATTTTTTGAGATGGAGTTTCTCTCTTGTTGCAATGGTGCGATCTCGGCTCACCACAACCTCTGCCTCCTGTGTTCAAGTGATTCTCCTGCCTCAGCCTCCCACGTAGCTGGGATTACAAGCGCCTGCCACCACGCCCGGCTAACTTTTGTATTTTCAGTAGAGATGGGGTTTCGCCGTGTTGGCCAGGCTGGTCTCGAACTCCCAGTCTCAGGTGATCCGCCCTCTTCGGCCTCCCAAAGTGCTGGGATTACAGGCGTGAGCCACTGCACCCAGCCTAGAACCCTTTTCTTAAGTCTGGTGCCCCGAGAGCAAAGCAGGCCTCTGCCTCCTTGTTCCTTCTGGGGTTCTCTGTTTGGCAGCCTCCCCAGTGTCCCTTGAGACCTACCAGCTGCACAGCCACAATGCGGAGGTAGCTGTGAGGCGTGTAGGGATGAGCAAATACCTGCGAGCAGCCCCACACTGTCCCTCAGCCCAGAGGGAGTGAGTGCGAACAGCCCACTGTGAGTGAGCCAGCCTCTCTCTTTCAAGCACACACACACACAGATTCGGACCCCAGAGCTGTGCAGAAAGGGGGCACTCCTTAGCAGAGGGGGCAGGGTCATTAGTCACGTCAGGACTTAGATGAGGGCACAGCGTGTCTCCATGGAGGTGAGGAGGGTGGAGGGCCTGCCTGGGGACCAGACAGTGAATGTGACAACAGGAGTGGGGGACCAGAACAGGGAAGGCACAGGTGAAGGCATTCTTTTTGGTGCCTGTCTTGAGTGAGTAGAACATTTCACTTACTAACCGGGGTGTTATTTCTTTTTTTTTTTTTTTTTTGAGATGGAGTCTCTGTTGCCCAGGCTCGAGTGCAGTGGCGTGATCTCGGCTCACTGCAACCTCCACCTCCCAGGTTCAAGTGATTCTCCTGCCTCAGCCTCCCAAGTAGCTGGGATTACAGGCACCTGCCACCACGCCTGGCTAATTTTTGTATTTTTAGTACAGATGGGGTTTTGCCATGTTGATTAGGCTGGTCTCGAACTGCTGACCTCAGGTGATTCACCCACCTTGGCCTCCGAAAGCGATAGGATTATAGGCATGAGCCACCGCGCCTTGCCCCCCACCCCGCTTTTTTTTTTTTTTTTGAGATGGAGTTTTAGTCTTGTTGCCCAGGCTGGAGTGCGATGGTGTATCTCAGCTCACCGCAGCCTCCGCCTCCTGGGTTCAAGTGATTCTCCTGCCTCAGCCTGCCGAGTAGCTGGGATTACAGGCGCACACCACCACGCCCAGCGAATTTTTTGTATTTTTAATAGAGACAAGGTTTCATCATGTTGGCCAGGCAGGTCTCAAACTCCTGACCTCAGGTGATCCACCCACCTTGGCCTCCCAAAGTGCTGGGATTACAGGCATGAGCCACCACGCCCGGCCTCCTCCCTGGTTCTTATTACCACTTGACATGCTGTATATTTACTTGTTTCTTTAAATTTTAAAATTTAATTTATTTTAATTTTTTAGCAATAGGGTCTCATTCTGTCCCTCAGGCTGGAGTGCAGTGATGTGATCATAGCTCACTGCAGCCTCGAACTCCTGGGCTCAAGTGATCTTCCTGCCTCAGCCTCCTGAGTATCTGGGACAACAGGTACACACCATCATGCCTGGCTTACTTGTTTGTTTCTCCTCCACAAGACTACATTCTAAGAGGTAAGGGACTTTATTCTGTTTATCCGCAGTGCCTGGCACCATAAATACTTGTTAAATGAGTGAGTGAGTGGATCAATATCCAAGGGGGAGGAGACAAGAGGACAAAAAATGACTAAAGAGAGACCTCTCACTGATCTTGGTGAGTGCAAGCTAGTTCAGTGCTAGATTTGATTTAGAAAAAAATAAGGAGGCTTGGTGTGGTGGCTCATGCTTGTAATCCCAGCACTTTGGGAGGCTGAGGTGGGCGGATCACCTGAGGTCAGGAGTTCAAGACCAGCCTGATCAACATGGTGAAACCCTGTCTCTACTAAAAATACAAAAAAAAAAAAACCAAAAAAAAAAAAAACCAAAAAAAAAAACAAAAAAAGAAAAAAAGAAAAAAAAAATTAGCCGGGCTTGGTAGCACACACCTGTAATCCCAGCTACTTGGGAGGCTGAGACAGGAGAATTGCTTGAACCCAGGAGGCGGAGGTTGTAGTGAGCCAAGATCCCACCATTGCACTCCAGCCTAGGCAATAAGAGTGAAACACCAGCTCAAAAAAAAAAAAAAAGAGGCTGGGCGCTGTGGCTCATGTTTGTAATTCCAGCACTTTGGGAGGCCAAGGTGGGTGGACCACCTGAGGTCAGAAGTTCAAGACCAGCCTGACCAACATGGAGAAATCCCATCTCTACTAAAAATACAAAAATTAGCTGGGTGTGGTGGCACACGCCTGTAATCTCAGCTACTCGGGAGGCTGAGGCAGGAGAATCCTGTGAACCCAGGAGGCAGAGGTTGTAGTGAGCCGAGATGGAGCCATTGCACTCCAGCCTGAGCAACAACAGCAAATCTCCCTCTGCAGGGGAAAAAAAAAAAAAGGAAACATATTTGCACTTTAGGGGTGTGGATAAATTTGTCTTTGTTGCAGATACAAGTGGCTGAGCCTGATGTGAAGCCTGCCGGCACATGTTCTGGTATGCAGTACACGTTCTATACACACACAATAATGCTACATTCCAGGGAGATAAAGCAATGAAAGAGAAATTTTATGTAGACATTCTTCAGTGGTTATTAATAGCAATTAGATGTGAGAGCAAGAATGGAAAGAGTGTCAGAGTTGGAAAGACCCTTAGGTTCCAGAGCAAGCTAGGTTCAGGGTCAGCATTACAACAGAGGCCTTCTAATTCCCAGACCAAGTTCTTTCCACGACACCTTGGATGAGACACCTCGCTTCTCCTCTCTGATTTTATGCCATTCCACTGGGTTAGATCTCTGCATTCCCAAACAACTGCTCTTTCCATCATAAATTTCAACGCAGAAGGTTATCATTCCACTGCAGAATCAGCTAGATAATAGTCTCAGCAGGCTAGACTACAGTCATTAAGCTTTGCTGAATTTTACCTGTGCATGCATTGATAATGGTAGTGGCAGATAATTGAGACAGGATCCAAGTTAGGCTTGCTTGTTTGCTTGAACACAATTTGTTATATTACCACTCAACTTTGGACTGTTTGTTTTGTTAATTACAATCATAGCATTTCAGAGTTGGCAGGGACTTTAAGGATGAACTAGGTTAGTGTTTTTTGTTTTTGTTTTTCTGAAATGGGATCTTGTTCTGTCACTCCAGCTGGAGTGGCCTCATCACAACTCACTGCTGCCTCAACCTCCTGGGTTCAAGTGATCCTTCCACCTCAGCCTTCTGAGTAGCTGGAACTATAGGTGTGCACCACCATGCTTGGCTAATTTTTAAAAATTAATTTTTTTTTTTGAGATGGAGTCTTGCTTTGTCACCCAGGCTGGAGTTCAGTGGCACAATCTTGGCTCACTACAACCCCTTTCGGGTTCAAGCAATTCTCTTGCTCAGCCTCCTGAGTAGCTGGGATTACAGGCGTCCACCACCATGCCCAGCTAATTTTTGTATTTTTAGTAGAGACGTGGTTTCGCTATGTTGGCCAGGCTGGTCTTGAACTCCTGACCTCAGGTGATCTGCCCACTTCGGCCTCCCAAAGTGCTGGGATTACAGGCGTGAGCCACCATGCCTGGCCAAAATTTTTAATAGAGATGAGGTTTCACTATGTTGCCTAGGCTGGTCTTGAACTTCTGGCCTAAATCCATCTTCCTGCTTTGACCTCTCAAAGTGCTGGGATTACAGGCCTGAGCCATTGCACCCAGCTGGTCAGTGTTTTAAAGTCATTTTTTAAAAGCTATAGCTGACCTGGAAGCCAATAACATTTTTTCTTTTTCTTTTTCTTTTTTTTTTGAGATGGAGTCTCACTCTGTCTCCCAGTCTGGGGTGCAGTGATGCAATCTCAGCTCACTGCAATCTCTGCCTCCTGGGTTCAAGCAATCCTCCAGCCTCAGCCTCCCAAGTACCTGAGACTATAGGCATGTGCCACCACGCCTGGCTAATTTTTTTTTTTAGTAGAAACAGGGTTTCACCATGTTGGCCAGGCTGGTCTCGAACTCCTGACCTCAAGTGATGTACCCGCCTCGGCCTCCCAAAGAACTAGGATTACAGGTGTGAGCCACCGTGCCTGGCCCAAAAACGTTTTAAAAATGTGCTATTTTTGTTGAACGCCTGTCGACCCTAAATTATCTCTCAGGAGTTCCTTTCTGATCTTCAAAATGTAATTTGAAAATGATGTACTTTAATGATCTCCTTGTACACATGGGAAATCAAGCTGGTCAAGAAGCAGAGTTGAGGTCAGGGCATGTGTCTCCTGCCTTCCAATCAGCTGCACATCAGAATCTTACTCTAATTTTGCCATTTTAGCTCCTCGATCAAAGAGTAAGCAGAGAAACATTTAAACGCCTTCCTTTCCTACCCGGTCAGCAGCAGCAGCTCAATTCAAAAGGTTTGATAGGAAAGATGTAGGAATTCTCTCTTTTTTTTTTTTTTTCGGAAAGAGAGTCTTGCTGTGTTGCCCAGGCTGGAGTGCAGTGGCATGATCTCGGCTCACTGCAACCTCCACCTCTCACGTTCAAGTGATTCTGCTGCCTCAGCCTCCTGAGTAGTTGGGATTACAGGTGCCTGTCACCACGACTGGCTAAGTTTTTGTATTTTTAGTAGATACAGGGTATTGCCATGTTGCCCAGGCTGGTTTTGAACTCCTGAGCTCAGGCAATCTGCCTGCCTTGGCCTCCCAAAGTGCTGGGATTACAGGCATGAGCCACTGCGCCCAGCAGGAATTTTTTATTTTTATTTTTATTATTTATTTATTTATTTATTTATTGAGACAGGATCTATCTTTGTAACCCAGGCTGGAGTGCAGTTGTGCAATCTCAGCTCACTGCAACCTCCGCCTCCTGGGTTCAAGTGATCCTCTCACCTCAGCCTTCAGAGAAGCTGGGATTACAGGCATGAGCCACCATGCCCAGCTAATTTTTGTAAGTTTAGTAGAGATGAGGTTTCACCATGTTGGCCAGGCTGGTCAGATGCAGGAATTCTTGACTTAAATAAAGGGTTTTGGATGATCATGGATATATTTGTTCTTCTCTTAAGCATGGTTAAAGGCAATCTGTAGGTACCAGTCCAGCTCTTCCCAGCCTTACTCCCTCTTTCAAATGAGTTATCATATATACTTGCTTTAAATAGGTGAAGACATGAAGATCTGGAGTTATAAAACACAAATCAGTCTTTCAATGCAGTCTTCCTGGGTCTAGCATAGCAAGAAAGCTTAAATCAATTGTGCTGTGTTTGGAAAAAGAATGTGCTAAAAGGAGATGGTCTATATGTCCTCTGTTATAGGAGACACCAGAGAAATCAAGTGATGCTTAAGCTTGAACACAGGGCCCAGTTCTATTCTAAAGTAGAGACAGGCCAGGCATGGTGGCTCATGCCTGTAATCCCAACATTTGGGAGGCTGAGGTGGGAGGATAGTTTGGGGCCAGGTGATTGACTCCAGCTTGAACAACATAGTAAGACTCCATCTCTTAAAAAAAATTACAGGCATGGTGGTGCATGCCTGTAGTCTCAGCTACTTGGAAGGCTAAGATGGAAGGATAACTTGAGCCGAGTCTAAGGCTGCAGTAAGCCTTGGTCATGCCACTGCTCTCCAGCCTGGGTGACAGAGCAAGACCCTGTCTCAAAAACAAAAAAAGGAGTAGGGACAGATATATGCCCTGTGAGTGTAATGGCACTAGCCACTCAGACAGTTCTATTATTTCCCCTTTGCGTAGAGTTCATGAGCAGAAGTTAAATTTCTGATTGTAATCTGGCTATCCAAATATGTAGATTATTTCAATTCTTTTTTTTTTTTTTTTTTGAGATGGAGCCTTGCTCTGTCACCTATGTTGGAAGGCTGGAGTGCAGTGGCGTGATCTTGGCTCACTACAACCTCCGCCTCCTGGGTTCAAGGGATTCTTCTGCTTCAGCCTCCCGGGTAGCTGGTATTACAGGTGCACACCACCACGCTCAGCTAATTTTTGTATTTTTAGTAGAGACAGGGTTTCACCATGTTGGCCAGACTGGTCTTGAACTTCTGACCTCAGGTGATCCGCCCACCTCAGCCTCCCAAAGTGCTGGGATTACAGGCATGAACCACTGCCTTCCGAGCTAGCATTCTTGTTTTGCCACCAGCCTTTTAGAAGGCAGCGGGAGGCCATTCTAAAGAGACTGATCTCTGTTTTGTGCATGTCTTCTGAGGACAGGGAGATGATGCTGGGCCAGGAAAGTATTATTTGAAAAGAGTCAGAGAAGTAAAGACTTGTTTATGATTGGTTGTACATCAGGACATAGGCAAGCCCAGAACCCAGAAGCTGCTACCTTTCAAGCTGAAAGCTTTCTGTCTATGAATCTAATAGGTCAGTACCTCTCATGGCTTAGGTTCATGGTGGAGGTAACTGGATGTTAATGATCCTGCACAGAAATGGTAACATGTTTACATGTATTATTTACAACAAAGCTTCACAATTATTTGTTGGTGAAGGACATGCCATTCTCATTCTCCTTCCTGCTTGTAGTGACAAGAAGGCCACGCTTTAACAAACCCAGGTCAGGGGCTGGTAAATATCTCACTGGAACCCAAGGAGTCATCTTCTTTGGATTCACCACAGAGTAGGTCAGGGAGTTGCCTGGTCATGTGTATACTTTGGGGGAACCAGGTGGGCTTGGTAGAGAGCTTCAAACTGATGACCGCAGGGAGACGATATGGACTAGTGGAGAAAGGGGAGACTCACAAACCATTACTGAAGATGGAGGGCAGGCTGGGCGTGGTGGCTTATGCCTGTAATCCCAGCACTTTGCGGGGGCCAAGGCAGGCGGATCACCTGAGGTCAGGAGTTCGAGACCAGCCTGGCTAACATGGTGAAACCCCGTTTCTTCTAAAAATACAAAAAATTAGCCGGGCATGGTGGCGCACGCCTGTAATCCCAGCTACTCGTGAGGCTGAAGCAGGAGAACTGCTTGAACCCTGGAGGCAGAGGTTGTAGTGAGCCGAGATCACACCATTGCACTCCCACTTGGGCAACAAGAGTGAAACTCCATCTCAAAAAAAAAAAAGAAAAAGAAAAGATGGAAGGCAAAGCTATTATTCTTTTCTAGAACTGGGGTAAGGGAAAAGAATGGAAGAACAGAGTATGCTCTTTTCCATACAGTGACCTAGGTCCAAGTTGCTGAGCTGGCCTTTACATTCTCTTGAGCCAACACCTTAGGATATAGTGGTCTCTGCCAGAATGATACGTAGGAGGTTCATTCTTCACCATTCCTTACCATATCCTGGGGTTAAGAGACGTGGATCCTTAAGATCCTCTGTTTGGCATGGCAGAGAGGCACAGATCTATGGTCCAACAAACACAAAGTGGGGGTGAGAGAAGAAATAGAGGGCCAAGCTTTAGAAAGGACCGTATAGGGGTTCATATGTGTTACATCCTTTTCAGCAAGAGTATTTAGGAGGGAAACTACAATGGAAAAAGCAGACTTTCTTTTCTTTCTTTTTTTTTTGAGACGGAGTCTTGCTCTGTTGCAAGGCTGGAGTGCAATGGCGCGATCTCGGCTCACTGTAATCTCTGCCTCCTGGGTTCAAGCAATTCTCCTTCCTCAGCCTCCCGAGTAGCTGGGACTACAGGCGCATGGCACCATGCCCAGATAATTTTTGTATTTTTAGTAGAGATGGGGTTTCACCATGTTGGCCAGGATGGTCTCGATCTCTTGAGTTTGTGATCCACCCACCTCGGCCTCCCAAAGTGCTGAGATTACAGGCGTGAGCCACTGTGCCCAGCCTATTTTCATTTTTGTTTGTTAAGTTCATTATTTATTCTCCATCCCCTATTTTAAAGAAACTAAGTGGGCAATGTGTTCAATGCCTGTGGAGAGCAACCTAGGACAGAAAAGAAAAGTGGGGATAAGATCTCAGATCATTTAAGTCTTTTTCTTTTCTTTTCTGAGATGGAGTTTCACTCTTGTTGCCTAGGCTGGAGTGCAATGGTGTGACTTCGGTTCACCACAACCTCTACCTCCCAGGTTCAAGTGATTCTCCTGCCTCAGCCTCCTGAATAGTTGGGATAACAGGCATGCACCACCACGCCCGGCTGATTTTTGTATTTTTGTTTGTTTGTTTTGTTTTTTTTGAGACGGAGTCTTGCTCTGTTGTCCAGGCTGGAGTGCAGTGGCATGATCTCGGCTCACAGCAAGCTCCGCCTCCCAGGTTCACGCCATTCTCTTGCCTCAGCCTCCCGAGTAGCTGGGACTACAGGCACCTGCCACCACGCCCGGCTAGTTTTTTGTATTTTTTAGTAGAGATGGGGTTTCACTGTGTTAGTCAGGATGGTCTCAATTTCCTGACCTCATGATCCGCCCACCTTGGCCCCCCAAAGTGCTGGGGTTACAGGCATGAGCCACTGCGCTTGGCTGAATTTATTTTTTGTAGAGACAGGGTTTCTCCATGTTGGTCAGGCTCGTCTCGAACCCCTGACCTCAGGTGATCCGCCTGCCTTGGCCTCCCGAAGTGCTGGGATTATAGGTATGAGCCACTGCGCTCGGACCTTCTTTTTTTTTTTTTGAAATGGAGTTTCACTCTTGTTGCCCAGGCTGAAGTGCAATGGCGTGATCTTGGCTCACCGCAACCTCTGCCTCCCAGGTTCAAGTGATTCTCCTGCCTCAGCCTCCGAGTAGCTGGGATTACAGGCATGTACCACCATGCCTGGCTAATTTTTGTATTTTTAGAAGAGATGGGGTTTCTCCATGTTGGTCAGGCTGGTCTCGAATTCCCGACCCCAGGTGATCCACCCATCTTGGCCTCCCAAACTGTTGGGATTACAGGCGTGAGCCACTGCACCCGGCCATAAGTCTTTTTCAACCAGGGCTAGATCCTCTTTCAGAGCCAGACTATTAAAATAGCCAGGAGAGTTTGGGGCGTTCTTCAATGTCATGCTTTTCCTAAAGGAATTTGGGGAGTGGACAAGGTCCTTTCCTCCTTATGATGTGTGTGTGTGTGTGTGTGTATTTTAGAGATGGGGTCTTGCCATGTTGCCCAGGCTGGACTTGAACTCCTGGGCTCAAGCGATCCTCCCGCCTCAGCCCCTTCCCCTCCCCAGTAGCTGGGACAACAGGTGTGAACCACTGTGCCTGGCTCCTCCCTGTGATATTTTAAAAGAGGGTTGGGGAACTTCGTCGTGCACCTGGATGAGAGCTGCAGGAAGGAGTTGTCTCAGATATGAAAGCTCAGAATGTAAATGACCTGCCAGGAAGCTGTTTTGACCTGAAACTGGGGCCTAATATGAGTCTCTAGCAAGACTCAATTAATGAAAGACATTTTTTAAACCATAGGGAAGTGAGGGGGAGGGTGGAGAACCCAAGGGAAAGGCGGCTAATGTAAGGGAAACTACTTCTCCTAAAAGACATTTCATATAAAACAAACCAAAACCAAAACCAAAAAAAACAAAAAACAAAAAAAGGAAAGAAAAAAAGCAAGGACTGCCAAGACTGCCTCTTTCTTATTCTTCCAAAAGCTCCAGCTCCTGAACTGTGGATTCTAACCAAGGTGGGTGGAGCACAGCTTGCACTGCAAGGGAATGAAGCCAATGCGAAGGCCCAGAGGGAAGGGAAGCGTTGTCAGAGTCTGGTGGTAAGCTGAATTCTGTGCCTGTTTAAATGGGGTTGTCCTTGTGGTTGCGGCATTTCCCTTCTCAACTTCAACAGACAATCAGTGGCATTACCCAAAAGTGGAGACGCATTGAGGACAGCACAGTTACAAGTGGGCATGAGTTTTTATTCTCAGTGCACAGCAGTATTGGTTTCTGTTCATCAGCAAAAAGCTTTATTGGCTCCAACAAATTATCCCTTTTAAAACTCCTCTTCTTCTTCTGGTCTCAGTGGAACAACACATTTGAATTTCAGATTTGCAGTTTATAGCATTTTTTTTCCCTAAGAACCATATAAATACATGCAAAACCTTGTACATAGAGCTTAAATAATATCAAAATGCAAATATAGATTGGGTGCACTGTTAAGCTGAATTGCAAATTATGGCAACACACACTGGACTGGGGTATACGTTGCTTTGATATCACCATTTGTTTGTTTATGTCATGCAGACCACAATAGTCAATCTTTTGTTTTTCTTTTTTGTACAAAAATACCAGTGCTTGTTATACTAGTTACTAAAAGAAGAAGAAACTCAAAATTCCTATCTGCGTGCTAATTTGAAAAGAACAACGTAGATAGATTTGTTGGCACATATATATGGCATATTCACATATGGCATATATACATATGGGGAGAAAACATGAACCAAAGGCCAATTCAGTTATGGGAGCTCATCTCCTTCCATCTCTCCTAATCAAGAGCAAAGGGAACAGCAGGCCTAACAGCAGGGTTGGGAAGGCAAAAGGACTGGCACTGAACTAAGTGAAAGGGCGTCTGGTCTATTCAGAGGAAGAGGCTGGAATGGCTTAACAATAGCAGGCATTTATAAGTGCCCACCCTCACCAATGCATCGGGGGTGGTCCCTAGATATGAAAGGTGAGGAAGTCTCTGCATACTGTGATGGTACCACGGGCTGCTTCAATTGTAAGGCAAAGGAAGCAGGAAAGAAAGGAAGGGATGCATTTAGAGGCTTTTCCACACAAGCGAGTGTGCCACGCCCCTCTGGGTTTTCAGCAGTGAGGTAACCATTCAGATTTAACCATGCCAACTCTCCTCTCTGAAGCTCAAGGGGAAGAAGAAACTCAAACCCTAAAGAACCCACAAGTGTCCAGAGGGATTTCTAGGTGATCTCTCTCTTAACCCCTTTAGGGACAGGAGAGTCATTCCAGAGGACAGATGATACTATGGGAAGGATCTAGCCTTAAGACTGTCACTCAGGGCTAGAACCAGCCATTGTTTTATCCATTTAGAATTCTGTCCCCATTTAATATATTGCACAAAATCTTTCTAGGGGAGGGAAGGCATCACAAATAAGATCCTTGCACAAAAACTCACTAATGGAAAACTCCAGGGGGAACAGGAAATAAAAACCATGAAAAATGCAAACCCCAAATCAGAGTATCCTTATAGACCAGGAGATATTCGTGTCTTTTATACCACTCTGCCAGCTATTCTTCAAGAAACACAAATCCAACAGAGGCCCCTGATCCTAATGACTAGTCAGGAAAGATTCTGTCTATCCATCTGCATGGTGGGGGTTGGGGGGAAGATTCATTTCCTGACAGCTGTGTCCCTTGCTGGGTGTTTTCCTGACTATCCACAGTTTACTACCCGTTTTTCTAGGTTTATTAAGAGAGGAAGCTAGGATGATACGTTCTCCTTCTCCCCATCAGACCCTTTTCAAATCCAAAGCACCATTTTGGGGAAAAGTGTTATTAACTTATGCCATATTTACCCACTGCCAGTTGGATCAGTGAAACTGAATAGAAAAAACTTATATAAAAAACATATGCACATAGACACTTAAACTTACCTAATTCCATATCAACAAAATTTATATTAAAAAAGTCTAGAACCCAACAATTTTTCTTCCCTAAGTATAAAGATGGCTGTTTGCAGAAAGAAAGTATGGTGTATTGGTTTTAAAACCAATTACAAATATACTAAGTCACCTGTCATGCCAAACAGCTGGTTATGTGCTCCCTTCCACAGGGCTACATGACGGCACTTTATTTTAAATCCTTTAAACAAAATACATATGGCTGACCCAAAAATATCAGTTTCTGATCTAAAGAAAACTATAATTTTTGCATATATTTCTATATTTTCTCTCCTATTATGGAAACTAGAACACAAGAAAAAAAACCATTGACTTTTAAAAAGTAGACACAAGCCCTCAAGGGTAACCTGTCAGGCACCATGAGAACCTTTTGTGAACAGGAATGGTAAAATAGCCTTCAAAGCTCGTTATTGGCTTGCTATTTAAAATGATCTGAGGTAATACAAGATTTGATAGAATTAAATCTTCTAAAATAGTTGATGAATATATATGTGAAACCTAACACCTTGGGTGAGCTGTTTTTTTCCCCTATGAGTATTTAAGACACAAAAAAGAATTATTGAAGCATGTACGTTTTACAAAACCAAAATCAAATTTGCTTTCCTATTTCCTACGATGATGGATTATGTAGTCATGGGGATATGTAGGGGACATTGTTTCTTTATGTTTCCTACTGTGGACAGCTCAGGTGAAAGGGGTGAGGGAGGACAGATCCAGAAGAAAAGGCTAGGTGGATCAGGTCATCTTCCTCTCACATGGGAATTTGGCCGTTCATACATCCCCTCTTCTTGACTCTCATCACTCTAGAAAGGGGGGTGGGCTTCATTTATCTAATGGGAGGTGAGAGTCAGGGACATGAACTGGCCCCTACACAGAAGTCAACACCAGCAGGGATACAAATGGAGCTCCTGCAAACGTGGCTCCACGTTGTCCCAGTAAGGAACACTTAAAAAATCTCCTAGCAAAGTCCCCAACTCCTGAGAGGCAGATGGGAAGGGGATGCTTTGGGCAGTATTCAGGGGAAAAAAAGGCACAGGGCTTTACTGGGCAGCAGCTGGAGCATGTGGCTGAAGCGGGGCTGGAGGAAGGGGGAGTGTGCCGGGTGCGGGGGGTCTTTTTCTCGTTTAAGTTGGCAAAATGTCACAGGGGCCTCCCACTTTGGATACATATTTTCAAAATCAGAATATTTGAGAAAGGCTGGGACCTTCTCAGAGACTGGAAAAGTTGTGACACGTGGCAAAAATTAGAATCAGAAACTGGAGAGAATGTCGAAGCTGGTCCCCAGGCACCTAAGCTCAAGGTTTCTGGCCTCTGCAGGAAGGTTTTCTCAGATCATGCTAGAATGGCTCTTTGGCCTCTCCCAAGGCTTCTGAACACTCATTCCCCACCAGTCAGGTCCTGCCCTGGAGAGCCTTGGCAGATGGCTTTGAAAGCAGTGGTCACCCCAAAGAGGAGCCCACAAAAGTCTGCTTTGATGGTCTGTCTTGTCCTAGATTTGGCAGCGTCTGGTCCTCAATATCCAAGCCCAGTAAGGGGGCAGGGTCATACCCAGTTCATTCTTTTGCCACCACTTTAGGAATAAGAGAAAGCTCAGGCTTTCAGGTAAAAACTGTATACCACACATATGCAACCTTCATGGGCAAGGCTGATCTCCCTGGCACTTAAGAACCACATACACTTTACAAGATGGCAATTTAAAAGCAGAAGGTAACCTGGCAACAACAGAGAAATATTCTTACCAGCACTTAATTGCTTCAAAAGGACCCTTTTAACAAAGAAACTGGTTGGATTCTGGAACTAAATCAAGGGTTCTTTTGGGCCAAAAGGGAGAAGGATCTAAGTTTACACAATTCATCCATATCCTTTCCATTTTCTTAATCATCATAAAAAAAAAAAAAAAAAAGGAAAGGAAGGGAAGACAAAAGACAAAGAACTTTGGAGAGGTTTGAATGAAAGGGCAGAAAGAGTTAGAGGCCTACAGGCCTTTAGGTGTAAGTTTTCAAAGTGGGAAAAATTGAAAAACAATCACACTACTGGCGGATTTTATACATTCCATCTCTACCGCAACATATTTCACTTGGGGATATTTGTCTCCCTCTGAACCCTCAACTTAGCTTATAAATGGCACAGACTTGTAGGACAAAATCCAGAATTCAGGAGAGGAACATCGGGGAGAATGTGGGGTGGGGTGATGCCAAGAGGATTGTCATCATTTCTTTAAAAATGACAAGTGACTACCAAGGAGTAGATTCTACCATGACCTGAATGGGGTTTGACTGGGTCCCGCTACAAACCCCAAGTCAAGCTTAAGTTGAAATCCTTGTAAGTCTGTGCTCTTGCCTCTTCATGGTCAGGTAGAGGTTCACTTCACACACACTGCTGTTAACACAGCAGCTGACGTGACAATGAAAAGTCCCATCATCACCTCATAGATGGGATAGACGAAAATGGAAATAGGTAAAATAGGGATGAGAGTCAGAGAAAGAAAATTCAAACTGATGTCTCTAGGCTCTGTAGAGAGCTGTCCGACTGGGGGAGCTGCACTTGGTTGCAATCCACCGCATTGTTGTTTGTATTGGCATATGGAGTGACCTCACCATCCAACAGGAGCACCCTAGTCCCAAACTTAGAAGCCTTGTCAGGATTTTCCTCCTCTTCCTCATCCAGGAGTGGTGTTCGTGGCAACTCCTCCTCTATGGCGAATTCAGGGTGGGTCATGAAGCTGTGGATGGACTTTTGGTTGTAGGGTTTCTGAATGCTTTCGTGGAGGGAACTATGGAACGCTTTGACCACTTTGATCTATACCAGGGGAAGGAAAAGGAGGATGAGAAAATAGAGAGGTGAGAATTGGCCGGCAGAACAAGGAGATGGTGGATTTAGGAGAGAAACAAAACCCAGACTATAAAACATGACTGCTCAGCATCAAAACCAAACACACATCAGAAGAGATCATGGGGCACTAGAAACATCACATGGCTCAACTTTCAAGCAGTGGGGTGGGCTGGGGTGAGTGACGGCAACTAGGACGTTTTGAAAGCTGCATTAAAAAAAGTAGAAAACCCAAAGCAACGTTAGCATTCCCAAACAATCTACTTTTAAAATGAAACAGAAAACAAGAAGTTTCATTAGTTCTTTTAGATGGAGGGCAAGGACATGGGAACTAGATGCAAATTCATAGCCAAACTTAAAAAGATGATTGAGATATGTGGATTTCTGTGCTGAGGCCAAACATTTTGTGAATGTGGAATGGAAAAATTATGCATTGAGGTTTAGTTATCTGTTTAAAGACCTCAAAGAGCCAGCATACACCAATCTGCACATAATACAGGTTGGGTGACGAGTGACCATGAAAACTGTGCAGCCAGGCAGACAAACCAATCTTCATTTGTGTCAGCAGCATGCAGGAACTTAAAACTCTCTAATAATAATTTGCCCTTTCAGCCAGGAAACATGCATATTTTTATATCCCACAACCACCACTGTGTCCCCTCCCCGCAAATAACACAGAACTTCACTCCTTCAGCCCCTTCCCTAGAAGCAGCAGATAAAATACAGGTGTCAAAAGATGCCTTCCTCCTGCCTATTGAGAAAAGACCTGGCTCTCATAATTCAAATGCACGTTCATGTCTCTGATACACAGCAACTGTGCCCAATCATGCTGCTTTCTCTAGCTGTTTCCAAATTGTGAAGAGGAGCATAGTCTTATGTGGAGAAGGGAATGAAAGGGACCAGGGAGAGAAACCTAATCCAGGAGGCAGTGCTACAAACAAGTGGCCTTTCTGATGGGGTGGATGAAGAGGATGAAGGAAAGGAAACCACGTGCGGTTTTACTGGGCAAAAGGAGATGCATTGCCCAGTGTCATAGTCTCTGTCTTACTGCGCAAAAAGGAAGGGATTCGGTCAGTTCAGAGTCATCAAGAAAAAACTGACAATAATTGATGCCTGTGAACAGCTTTTGCTTGTCCACAGGCACCAGCAATTTTGGCAGCTCTGCTTTTCTGAACTGCAGGTCTCTCTGAGGCGTGGCTTAGAATCAGGGATGGTAGAATTGGGGTAGGGGGAGAGGGTTGGAGCTCCGAGAAGTTGGAGAGAGGGGCCAGGGGAAAGGTAAATGGTTGTAGGACGGTTCTAGTTGTTGGAAGGTGGCTGATCCTAGTCTTGTCCAAAAAATCTTCACTCAGAAAAGAAATGGGAGTAATGTGGGGGAAACTGTTGAGGTTGGAGGGGTAGGAGTGATGAAGGTGGGGGTAGGGTACCTCTTTCATTCCTCTGCTGTTTAACCAAAAATATATTCCAGGAGAAGACACAAGAATTTGGAGACAGCAGAGGATACAGAGAGTCAGCCAAATAAACTGGTTGGATCACCTGTTCCAGTGCTTCCTACCACCATACAGAACCTTCATAAATACCACTCAAAGAAGGCTCACTATCAATACTGTTGGTCCGTTTTCTCTGGAGGAGAATGTGTCTCTGCTGGCTAAGGCTTTCTTTATCTCGTCCCACTCTACTACAGCCTGCAGACCCACCCAAGACTGAGGGTGCTCAAAGCTCAGAAGGCAAAGGACTCCTTGCCACTCAACAGTATCAGCTCAACACCTCAGCCAAGAAGAATCAGGGAGCACAGGCACACACTCACCATGCTGAACAGACAGCGAGGACCACATTTTTATTATCTGATTCCTATTTGACCATCTGATGTGCAAATTTTACCTATCATGTTGCCTTTGCTCCAGATCTAGGTGAGATCAGATGGAATGGAGGCTCCATCTGGTCTTCAGGAAGTCTCAAGTTTTCACTGATCTACATAAAATCTCAGAGCAAGGCAATTTGGATTGAGTGAGTCCAAACCCAGTGCCTTCTCCTTTGACCCTGGCACAGATACACTGGCCAAGAGATGGGTCCAAAGTCATCCCACTCCATCAAAGCCATCACTGTCAGGAGTGATAACATAGCCCACATTTTTCATATGTTTTCAAGATCTCAAAATTTCTACTGAATATTACAGGAGGGCAGGTGCCTTTATCCGCCAGTACATCATCTTCAATATCAGTGATTTTCAATTTCCTGCTTCCATTCAATTGAATACTTTGTTGGAAAAAATTACATGTGAAGTCCACTATAGAAAATAAATTTGTAACAACTGGGGTTGGAGTGAGGGTCTGGAGCCCTGTTTGTTGGCTTTTCCTCTCACCTGTTGGGGTGACCAATAATACTGTTACAGGTAAACAATGAGGAAGATAAAAGTGAATTGGGGATGGGTAGATGGAAAAAATATGGGAAATGTCTTTTGGGGAGCAAGAAACAGTCATCCAGCTAGACTGCAGGACTTCTGGAATCTAAAGGGAAACCAGCCACCTGTAAGGAAGCTCACGTGAAGAGGGGTCAGAGAGCTAGGGAGCACCAGCTGGCTTGGTGGGTGGAGAGAAGGGTGAGGGAGGAGAGGGCATGGGGCTGTGCCAGGATGCCCCAACTCCAGCACTGGCCTCAGAGAACACATGCTGATGAACAATCATGCACTATATCACCACCAATCCACCCAGGGCTGGCATCTCCCCTTCCTGGAGCATGATGCCTGGTGCATGAGCAGTGTATGGGGACAAGACAGGGCTAGTGAAGAAGGTGCAGGGAAAGCTTTGAGCACTCTCCACACAGCCAGTCAACCCTTCCCTTCCTGGTCATCATTTCTCAAAACCTTGGGGAAATGTCTCTTTTGGGGCCCTGGCCTACAGGTGGAAGTGGCTGGTTGAAGGGCAACTCTTTTCATGACTCAGGAGACTGGGTATGAGTGCTGAGGGCTACTCTCTGCAGCTCAATGAGTGGGCAGGTGAAGACTCCATTTTCTCATTCTGTAGTTTTCTGCTTTTTTTTTTTTGGGGGGGATGGAGTTTCACTCTTGTTGCCCAAGCTGGAGTGCAATGGCGTGATCTCAGCTCACTGCAACCTCCGCCTCCCGAGTTCAAGCGATTCTCCTGCCTCAGCCTCTAGAGTAGCTGGGATTACAGACGTGCGCCACCGCACTCAGCTATTTTTTTTTGTATTTTTAGTAGAAATGAGGTTTCACCATGTTGGCCAGGCTGGTCTCGAACTCCTGACCTCAAGTAATCCACCTGCCTCGGCCTCCCAAAGTGCTGGGATTACAGGCGTGAGCCACCGCGCCAGGCAGTTTTCTGCTCTTTTCAGAAACCAGAAGAAAAGGATTAGGGCCTCCCTATGCAGGGAAATCTTAGAGATCTATCTAATGAAGGTTGGACAAACAGTTGAATTCATTTGGAGATCTGGAATGGGAAAGAGGGTTTTAAAATGTATGGCTATAACTTCTAGGAGCTCCAACTAAAAAGGCACAGCTGGAGAAAGAGCAGGTGTGGCCTGTCTCTCCTCTGATCTAGTCTTTGAGGATTTGGAGCACACCCTCTACCAGCTGCTCTACAAGATCCCAGTCTTCTGCTTAGTCTTCTACTTAGTCTCCTTCCACCATCAAACCATCAGGATATCTGACACTAACCCTTCCTATCAGAAAGGGATGATTAAAACAGAACAGAAGCTAGTTAGAAGGGGATGGCAGAACTAGAAGGAAAAAAGGAATTAAGAGAGGAATATGAAAGAACTGGTGGGAGAGGTTCCTGGATACTTGCAGGGCAAGACTTAGTGAGTTCTTTCTTGCCTGTTTTTTTGACCTAAAGAAATTGTATGTATCTCTATCAAGTTCCACCCCCATTCCTCACATCAGAACACTTTGGCTAAAGAGACAAAACAAATCTAAGTCTGGTCAACCCACACAGTCCGTGATCATGTGAACCACAGACAAGGCAACTGTTCTTTCTTGAGCCCCTTTGCAGAGGTCGGGGTGGGGGGTGGTGAGGTTGGGAATGGGGGAGGAAGGAACAGACTGAACACTCAGCTATTTGAAACCCACATTATATTTAATACAGATAAACTCCTTCCCACATTATCAGCAAAGAGCTGGCTACCTTCTCTCTCCTCTCTGAGTCCCATTTGGGGAAGGGAAAATGACCAGGAATAGGAAGACATAAGCATTAGCAAGAATCCAAGAATCTACCAATGGGAACACCAGATCTTAGGTTGTGAGTTGATAATACTCCAATTGCAAGTCCGGCTGAGAAAGGGCTTCCTGAAACTTTATGTGCAAAATAAGTGCTGGCTATTGGTGAAACAATCAAACTAGAGAAAAGGAGAAGCAAAATAAAAGGCACTCCTCTTCAGAAACTCCTAAAAGTTTAGTAAATGAAGAAAAAATGTTATTTTGACTCTTTTGTATATTTCTCGTACCTTCATGTGAACTAATTGATTTTTTTTCTTCGTTTTTTTTTTTTTTTTTTTTTTTGAGATGGAGTCTGTCTCTGTCACCCAGGCTGGAGTGCAGTAGAGCATCTTGGCTCACCGCAACCTCCGCCTCCTGGGTTCCAGCGATTCTCCTGCCTCAGCATCCTGAGTAGCTGGGACTATAGGCACGTGCCACCATGCCTGGCTAATTTTTGTATTTTTTAGTAGAGACAGGGTTTCACCATATTGGCCAGGCTGGTCTTGAACTCCTGACCTTATGATCCACCTGCCTTGGCCTCCCAGAGTGCTGGGATTATAGGCGTGAACCACTGTGCCTGGCCTTTTTTTTTTTTTTTTTGAGATGGAGTCTCACTCTGTAGCCCAGGTTGGAGTGCAATGGTGCTATCTCGGCTCACTGCAACCTCTGACTCCCGGGTTCAAGTGATTCTCCCGCCTCAGCCTCCCGAGTAGCTGGGATTACAGGCACGCACCATATTGCCCGGCTAATTTTTGTATTTTTGTAGAGACAGGGTTTCGCCATGTTGGCCAGGCAGGTCTTGAACTCCTGACCTCAGGTGATCCGCCCACCTCGGCCTCCTAAAGTTGGGATTACAGGTGTGAGCCACAGCACCCAGCCAAGATTAACTGATTTTTAAACCGGAGTCCCAGAAAAGTAAAATAACGGGGATGTTCAACCATATACATTTGAACTGAACTACTTTCTTTTCTTCACCTATAGCTACAACTTTTTTTTTTTTTTGAGACAGAGTCTTGCTCTATCGCCCAGGGTGGAGTGCAGTGGCTCTCCACTTGGCTCACTGTAACCTCCGCCTCCTGAGTTCAAGTGATTCTCCTGTCTTAGCCTCCCGAGTAGCTATAGGACTACAGGTGCCCGCCACCACGCCCAGCTAATTTTTTGTATTTTTAGTAGAGACGGGGTTTCACCATGTTAGCCAGGATGGTCTTGATCTCCTGACCTCGTGATCTGCTTTGGCCTCCCAAAGTGTTGGGATTACAGGCGTGAGCCATCGTGCCCAGCCAGCTACAACTTTTATGCTAAAATTGCCAGTCAGCAATACAGTGGTGGCCAAATGGACTATTATTATTGACCAAGTTTAATACTGGCTCAATTATGACAGGTCCACTAGTCAAAACACACCCATGGGCACATTAGCTCCCTTCCTACCTTTCCTCAAAAGATCCCAAACTTTGCCCCCATGTAAAGAAAGCTCTTGGGTTTTCCTCTGGCCTAACCTCACATCTAAGCTTAGGAGGTAGAGTTCAGACTCAAAGGAGCAGGAGGAGAAGAGAGGAACAACAACATATCCCAGCAAAGCAACAAACAGACAAACAAAAAAGGCAAAGCAAAACAAAACAAAACTCAAGAAAAGGAAGAAATGAGCAATGCAGAGGAACAATCAGAAAACAGAATTATTGTCTTTAAAACAGTTAAGGTTTAATAGCTTTTCTACATTACAAAAATAAAATACAAGGGCACACAGTCTGGTTTTAGAGTAGGATTTTTGTCTTTTTCTTCCCTTAAGTCAAAATATCAAAGGGAAAAACCAAAAGGAAAAGATAACCATGGTTGGTTAAAGTGGATGCCACGTGCTCTCTTGTGGTCATTTTAGCAAATCATGCATCATAATAGACTATCACTCACTGCCCATAGGAGGAGATGAAACAGCAGGAACAGAAGTGGTGGGGGAAGATTTGACTGGTGCAACTGCTACATAGGATGAACTAGGAACAAGTTTTACATCAAGGTGTTGACCCATGTTCTGTCGCCTTAGGACTCCCTTAAAAGAGGCTCCCGTCTGGAATGTGTTAATTACGTCGATCTGCAAAGAATCAGAGAGTGAGACAGCTTTGCTCCACAGTCAGTCCGAGAGAGGTGAAGAAAGAGGAAGGGAGGGTCATGGAAGGTTGGGGAAGCAGGAATGGAAGTAGATGGGAAAAGGGGACAGGAGAGAGCAAGAGAGAGCTTCCCTCCCACAAAAAGCAATGGTGAGGAGAAGGAGAAAAACGTTAATTGCATATCATACTTCACTTAGGGAACAATTTGCCATGGAGTCCCAACGCCCAGCCAGAATCTAGTTTTTTCTTCCCTTTGAATCCACAGTGGGCATTTGAGGTTTAGAGGGGGCCAAGAGTATTTAAAATGTAAAGGGACTTTTCCCTACTCCATCACTCCTAACAGCTAGACAGCGATTGTTCGTTGTTTTTACCTGTACTTTTTTTTTTTTTTTGAGATGGAATCTCAATCTGTCGCCCAGGCTGGAGTGCAGTGGCACACTCTCGGTTCACTGCAACCTCCACCTACAGGCCCCTTTTTACCTGTACTCTTAAAAATAAGGCAAACAATTGAAGATTCTGAAGGCAAATTATGTATTACTGAATTTGAAGGCTCAGGAACCTCTAAATCAATTAAACCGACTACGTATTTTTGCGGATTTTCCAGGAAAATAACTCATGTGTTTAAATAAAAAACAGGGGCCATTTAGTAGCCAATATACAAATGGCCATGATGGAAAGACCCCTGGGCCATGAGTTGCTGGGCTCATCCTCCTCTGGGTATCTTGTCTGAGCTATCCCTTCCCTGGGCTGAAGTAGGTAGGCTCCCTGAGAATGGAGCTCAAGAACCCAGTGGCCAAGCCCACTATCGAGAATGCTACTAAGTGCATTAATGCATTAGAGATCTGAAATGTCTGGCAGAAATGCTGACAGTAACTCGGCAATTAGACTGAGGGAGGGGGAGGAAGAGGTTTTGGTTGGTGGTGGTTGAAACAGCTACAGGTCGAGGCTTACACAAGTAGCCTCTGGTTTTCAGTGCCCTGTTCCTCAGAGACAGAGGCAATTAATGCCATTCATTTTCTTCCTTCCTTCCTTTTTTTTTTTTTTTTTTTGACACCCAGGCTGGAGTGCAAGGTGCGATCTCGGCTCACTGCAAGCTCCGCCTCCCGGGTTCACGCCATTCTCCTGCCTCAGCCTCCTGAGTAGCTGGGACTACAGGCACCCGCCACCAGGCTGGCTAATTTTTTATATTTTAAGTAGTGACAGGGTTTCACTGTGTTAGCCAGGATGGTCTCAATCTCCTGACCTCGTGATCCGCCGGTCTTGGCCTCCCAAAGTGCTGGGATTACAGGCGTGAGCCACTGTGCCCAGCTTCCTTCCTTCCTTCCTCCCTCCTTCCTTTTTTTTTTTTTTTTTTTTTGAGACAGAGTCTCGCTCTGTCACCCAGGCTGGAGTGCAATGGCACGATCTTGGCTCACTGCAACCTCCATCTGCTGGGTTCAAGCCATTCTCCTGCCTCAGCCTCCTGAGTAGCAGGGACTACACGTACCTGCCACCATGCCCAGCTAATTTTTTTATTTTTAGTAGAGACAGAGTTTCACCATGCTGGCCAGGCTGGTCTCGAACTCCTGACCTTGTGATTTGCCTTCCTCAGCCTCCCAAAGTGCTGGGATTAAGGTGTGAGCCACCGCGCCCGGCCATGCCATTCATTTTCTGACAATGGTCCTGATCTAGGGCCTCAATCAACTCTACCATCCTTATCCCTGACCCCTAAGTAACAAGGACAAAATCAAAAGGAATTCCCTTTAGCCTTCATGAATCTGGTAGAATAATCTTAGAAATATCTATCTGCTTAATGCCAAGGGTTAATCTACCAGGAATGAAGGAAAGGTGCTGATTCCATTAACTGGACTTCATTTTCCCAGGAGGGAAGATGGGAAAGTAGGCAGAATGTGAGTGAGACAGTCCTTTTATAAAGCTTCCTGAGAAGCCATGAGCTGTTTAGGGCTAGTTTCTGGATCCAGATCACAGTTTGAGCAGAAACATCACTGCTTCCTCACATTATTCAGTTTTAGTTCCCTGGGACTGAGGAGCTTGAACCTGCAGGAGGAGAGGGTTTACACTTGGGGTGGGTGCGGGGGTTCCAGCTCCATGGAAGAAGGGACTGTAGAGACACCTTCTTCAGTGCTTATTGGAGTTACAAGGTCCCAACCTCCACAATTCTAGTCTCTAAGTTTTCTAACACCTCCCATACCAAAGCACTGCGATGAGAATGACAACAAAGATCAACGTGGAGGTGGCAGGGGGTTTTGTTAGAACCCAGCTGAGGCTGAAGGGCTGATGTTGGGAGCGGACCTCAGGGATCCAGGATACACGTTAGCATCATTAGCCTCATCAGCTTCCAGAGTCAGGTGCATCCTGGATGGCGTGAATTTGGTCACTGTGGCATCTTGAACATGCCTCACTTTAGGCTTTAATGCCATTTTGGCCCAACTGCCTCATGCTCCAACAATGCGGAAAGGTAGTATACCTAAAGCTATGTAGGCAGTGAAACCAAAAAGACCTTGTAGAGAGGGGCATAGTCAAGGAAATAGAAATTGGTAGTGGAGGGCAAGGAAGACCCATAAATCTCAGCCTCCCAGGACAGAAGACTGGAAAGGAGCAAGGAGGTACTGGACTGAGGGAATCTTGGCTAGGAGAAAAGAAATCACATAGTAGAAGTGGTTGATCCTGAAGAAAAACAAAGCAAAGACAGGTTATTTTGGAAAGAGCAGACCCAAAGGAAAGCACTGGGGGCTTTAGAGATGGGAGCCAAAGGCGCCAGGTTCTATGGGTACTTGGAGTCAGCAGCCTGGAGTGTGGGGTGGGGTAGGGAGTGAGCGTGGGGATTCTGGATGCCTGGATGCCACGAGGCACTTTGTGTAGGTCCCGCTGGAAATTTTCTTTCTGAGAGGAGGAACTTGAGAGAGGGAAAAGGAACCCTAGCGTTTCCCTACCTAGCCCTTTTCCACTTTTCTTTTTCTTCTTTTTTTTTTTTTTAATTCAGCTCTTCATATAACATCCCTTGTAAAAACAAAAGAATAAAAACAAACCAAAAAAGAGGGGCAGGGTAAATTTTTTTTTAAAAAAAGGAAAGGAAAGAGAGGAAAAGGAAATAAAATAAGACGATTTATTGTTTCTCCTCAGCATCCTCCTTGGTCTCCTCCTTCACTGAGAGACCTTCAAGCTTTTCTGCCACTTTTTCGGCATGATTGTTTTTGCCTGATCCTGGCCAAGCCGTCTCCTGGAGTTTCTCTTCTTGAAACTCAATGACCAAAGGAAGCCAAGTGGATGCATCCAAGCACCACCTAGACCATGGTCAGGCTGCTCAGTGACATCTGGTCACTTGCCACCACAGCTGCAGTCCAGCCTCACAGCAGAGGGGACCAAGCCCTCTGAGAGACAAACCAAGGACCACTGTAAAGCACCTTCTGGTGAGCTCCAGGCAGTGCCCGGACTCCAATGCCTGCCCAATTGGATGTGAGGCCAGCAACACGGAGAAGTGCTCAGGGCTCCCCAGGAAGCACCTGTGTCCCCAGGGAGCTGCATCGCCCTGGATAGGTGAGGCAGCCACAGCACCCTGGAATGTTTCTCTGGCAGACAGAAAAAGCACCTGCCTGGAAGTACAGTCAGGTGCATAGTGAGTCTGCAATCCACTTTTCTTCTTCTTTTTTTTTTTTTTTTTTGAGACAGAGTCTTGCCTTGTTGCCCAGGCTGGTGTGTAATGGCGCGATCTCAGCTCACTGCAACCTCAGCCTTCCGGGTTCAAGCGATTCTCCTGCCTCAGCCTCCAGAGTAGCTGGGATTACAGGCGCCCACCACCACGTCCAGCTAATTTTTGTATTTTTGGCAGAGCCAAGGTTTCACTATGTTGGCCAGGCTGGTCTCGAACTCCTGACTTTATGATCTGCCAGCCTCGGCCTCCCAAAGTGCTGGGATTACAGGCGTGAGCCACCGCACCCGGCCTCTTTTCCACTTTTCTATTTGTTGTCTTGCCTATAGGGGATAAGTTCCTACCAGGTATATAGTTTAGAATATTCACTCCATCTATCTCTCCTATACACTAACGAGGTGGGATTGACTGGGGAACTTCTTTTCTTTCTCTTTTTTTTTTGAGACAACTCTCAATCTGTCACCCAGGCTGGAGTGCAATGGTGTGGTCTCAGCTCACTGCAACCTCCGCCTCCTGGGTTCAAGCGATTTTCCTGCCTCAGCCTCCCAAGTAGCTGGGACTACAGGCATGTGCCACCATGCCTGGCTTGTATTTTTAGTAGAGACGGGGTTTCACCTAAGGCAGGGGATCCACCTGCCTTGGCCTCCCAAAGTGCTGGATTACAGGTGAGAACCACCGCGCCCAGTCTTTTTTTTTTTGTGAGACAGAGTTTAGCTCTCGTTGGCCAGGCTGGAGTGCAATGGCGCAATCTCAGCTCACTACAACCTCTGCCTCCCGGGTTCAAGTAATTCTTCTGCCTCAGCCTCCCGAGTAGCTGGGATTACAGGCATGTGCCACTACGCCCGGCTAATTTTGGATTTTTAGTAGAGACGCGGTTTCTCCATGTTGGTCAGGCTGGTCTTGAACTCCCGACCTCAGGTGATCCACCCACCTTGGCCTCCCAAAGTGCTGGGATTACAGGCGTGAGCCACCATGCCTGGCCGACTGGGGAACTTTCTAAAACATTTGCAAGGCCAGTTTTAGACAGTGAAACTTATTTTGAAGATCTCTAGCCAATCAGCAGAGAGAAATACGCCTGTTTTCTGGAGACCACCCTTGAGATCTTGGAATTTACAGTGTTTTTGAAATGGAAAATCTCAGGATTAAAACAATAAAGCTATGGGGGGTGAGAGCAGGGGAAGACAGAATTATCAATGCTTAGATCAGCGCATTCACCCAGGAGAAAGTAGTTACAATTGATGCATGGAAAGTGGAAAAAATAAAAGTTATTGTGGGGCTATAGACAGGGGACATAAGAGCAGCAGGGGTGGCTTCTATCCCATTTCAGAAATTGCAAGAAGGGAAGAGGCTTGAAGAAATTATTGCTTCCTCCTTGTCAGGAAGCAAGTCTGAATCCTGCAAAAGATGCTCAGACATCAAGAGACTATTGTCATTTTTACACATGAAACCATCAGATTCCCCACCATGGCCTTACACTTTGAATGGGGGAGATATAACAAGGTGAGTTTCTTTTACAAAGACCCTTCCAGATAGCATCTATTCCTATAATGGCAGTGTGAGGAAGCTATATTAAGTGAATGCTGGGTATGTTGGCATATTGATATTGTCTAACTCCTTCCTTCTGAAGGGTAGGGAAAAACTGAGCATTTCCCACCCTGGGGTCAGGTCTAGTGCTTGCAAGAGACCTTATGCTGAAGCTTGCCCATTTGATAGAGGGTGGCAGGCTGGGCTTTAGGGTCAACCCAGAGCTAAAGGACTATGCTAATAGTGTCCCATGGTCTAGGTCATTTGACTCCTCTCCTCTCAGAGGACCCCACACAGATCCTTTTGCGTGTCTGTCCTGAAGCTGAGGATCTAGGGCTGCCCATCAGTAGTGAGCCTTTGGAAGGGAAGAGATGCTGGCCGACAAGAACTGCTACCCTCCCAACACCTTCCAAGATGGGAAGCTGCTTCTCCCAAGGGAAGGACAGACCACTATCAGAGTACCTGAGTCTGGATACGGTTCAGGCCCCGGAACCAGAGGATCTGGCCTCGGCGCAGCTCCATCTCAGCATGGTCAATCTCATCCAGTCCCTCGGCATCCTTGGTGATCTCCTCTTTGGTGGTGCCATGCCCAGCCTCCTTCAGGAACTTCAGGGATCGGGTAGGTATTGCGGAGATGAACTGAAAACAAGCGCAGCGAAGAGGAAGACGTCAGAATCAGCGTGAGAAGAGCTGTCAGTCAACTTACATGAGCCAGGCCCTTGGGCAGGTTACTCTTTGCCCTACCACCCTTCCCACTGGAAGAGCAGTGGGCAGAAGCACCAATCCATCCAGGCAAGCATTCTCCAAGTGCCCACCAGCGGTCAGGCTTTTAGGAAGGTTTTCTGTATTTATGGACACACACAAAAGAGAGCTTCTATTCTAGTAATTGACCAGCCATCTGCCTGGTCATATACTTCATTTTCCTCTTTCTGTCTCATTTCTTCTGTTCCATTTTGCAATCTGTCTTTTAAGGTTAACAGAACTATACAGCATGGTACGCAGTAGGAAGAAACAGAGACCAGGACCTGGGGGAAAAGAGTTTGGGGAGAAGATGGTGATATTGCCTATGTATAGGCAAGGGGTTGAGAAGGGTATTGGAAATGAATGACCCCTTTCTTAGTTGCCACATGCAAAGTAGTTTCTGTGTTACAAACTCTTGTGAAAGGATACCAAAAGTTTTCTTGGGCTTGAGGTGAGGAAGTGGATGGGACAGTCCATAGAAGAGGGGTCACATGAGTATTATCAGAAGACAAGGAGCAGTACATAGGGTTTGAAATTTGAAATAAATTTCCCGGTGAGCTCAGCACCTGTCAGTCAGTTCTTTCCGGACAAGATAAGGAGTAGCCAGGGCTCATGTGGGGAAGAGGGACTGTATGGGCAATCTGATATGGAGTCAAGGGTTTTGAAATGGGAAGAATGCCAGAGCTCTGCCTCTGAATGTGGAAAAAGCTGTTGTGATACAGAAGGAAGGCTGCTGTCTGGCAGCAAGGCCACATGGCCACATGTGAGGCAAGAGCCAGAACAGAGTTTCAAACAACAGGTTTAACAACCAAGCTTTACCAAAGCATAAAACTGCTTTAGGAACCCATTGGTAAAAAAAAAAAAAAAGAAATCTTCACCAAACAGAACAGGGTGGAGGGAATTGGGTCAGACATTAATTAGGGAGGGCTGGGTGCAGCGGTTCATGCCTGTAATCCCAGCACTTCGGGAGGCCGAGGCAGGAGGATTGCTTGAGCCCAGGACTTTGAGATCAGCCTGGCAACATAGTGAGACCCCAATCTCTTTATTTTTTGTTTTTCGACATAGAGTCTCACTCTTGTCATCCAGGCTGGAGTGCAGTGCCGTGATCTCAGCTCATTGCACTCCGCCTCCCGGGTTCAAGCAATTCTGCTTCAGCCTCCCAAGTAGCTGGGATTACAGGCATGTGTCACCATGCCCGGCCAATTTTTTTTTTTTTTTTTTGTATTTTTAGTAGAGACAGGGTTTCACCATGTTGGCCAGGCTGGTCTCGAACTCCTGACCTCAGGTGATCTGCTCGACTCAGCCTCCCAAAGTGTTGGGATTATAGGTGTGAGCCACTGCGCCTGGCCTGAGACCCCCATCTCTTAAAAAAAAAAAAAAAAAAAAAAGAAAAGAAAAGAAAAGAAAAAGAAATTATTCAGGGAGGCATCTAGGTATGAAATAAATAACTAGCAGGTTTAGGGGAGAAGGCCTGCAGCTCCAGAAATGGCTCTTTGAGGCCAGTTAGGGCAAAGTGTCCATTACCTGGGTGGCTGGACACTAAGGGATTATCTGCAGAGACCTGGGGTCTGTAAAGAGAGGTATAGCCCAGGCCAGAGCTGAGGATGAGGGAGGTTTGTAAAGTGGTATTAAGGAAGAAGTGAAACTATTAGACTTAATGATACTATTATAATCGTAATAGTTTAAAATTTGATTATTTATAAGGAATAAGACATTATTCATTACTGTATAGTAACTGATTCACTAATTAACAATGACCTTGTTTTCCTAAGCTGAAGACACTGAGACACAGATTGGTTATGTAACTTGCCCAAGATGATTCAGCTTATAAAAAGGAGAGCTGAGGCTGGGCACGGTGGCTCAGGCCTGTAATCCTAGCACTTTCGGAGGCCATGGCGGGTGGATCACCTGAGATCAGGAGTTTGAGACCAGCCTAGCCAACATGGTGAAACCCTGTCTCTACTAAAAATACAAAAAATTAGCTGGGCGCGGTGGTGGGTGCCTGTAATCCCAGCTACTTGGGAGGCTGAGGCAGGAGAATTGCTTGAACCTGGAGGGTGGAGGTTGCAGTGAGCCAAGATTGCACCATTGCACTCCAGCCTGGGCAACAAGAGCTGGGCCAGGTGCGGTGGCTCACACCTGTAATCCCAGCACTTTGGGAGGCCAAGGCAGGCAGATCACGAGGTCAGGAGTTCCAGACCAGCCTAGCCAACAAGGTGAAACTCCGTCTCTAGTAAAAATACAAAAATTAGCCAGGTGCGGTGGTGGTTGCCTGTAATCCCAGCTACTTGGGAGGCTGAGGCAGGAGAAATTGCTTGAACCCAGGAGGCAGAGTTTGCAGTGAGCCGAGATCACACAACTGCACTCCAGCCTGGGTGACAGAGCAAGACTCTGTCTCAGAAAAAAAAAAAAAAAAAAAAAAAAACAGAGAGCTGGATTCAAACCCAGGCAGTCATTCCCAGAGTCCATGCTCTGAACCACAGGCCATACTGCTACTCTAGAGATCTTGTAAATCTGAATTTATCTCAGGTAAGAGTTAAGAATTCCACCCAGATAAAGCCATGGCAAGAAAGAGAAGAGGCTGGAAACCCTGAATTATGTCAGCTCGACAGCCCATAGCCAGGTTGCTGCCTCATGAGAATAAAGACATGTGTCTTGTAAACTCTTCTACTTCTAAGACCCTTATTATATATTTTTTTTTTGTAGCAAAATTCCATTGAAAAGTTTGGTTTCTGTCTCAGAGAAGCTAAGGGATTTTTCTTTTTTTTTTCTTTTTGACACTGAGTCTTGCTCTGTCGCCCAGGCTGGAGTGCAGTGGCGCAATCTCGGCTCACTGCAAGCTCCACCTCCCAGGTTCACGCCATTCTCCTGCCTCAGCCTCCCGAGTAGCTGGGACTACAGGCACCTGCCACCATGCCCAGCTAATTTTTTGTATTTTTAGTAGAGACGGGGTTTCACCATGTTAGCCAGGACGGTCTTGATTTCCTGACCTCGTGATCTGCCTGCCTCGGCCTCCCAAAGTGCTGGGATTACAGGTGTGAGCCACTGCGCCCAGCCAAGCTAAGGGATTTTTCTACCTCCAGGCTTAGTTAGAGAAGAATTCTGAAACCTCTGAAGTGATCATTCCACCTTGAGATCCTATGAGATGGCAAGAACTTGAAAACTTGAGTGGGGGTGGGGAGGGAAGAGGAGAAGATGAAGATGAGGAGCTGGGGGGTCTCCACCGTTGCTTGTTCCATCTCATGTAGAGGAGGGGAGTTCTGCAGGCTGTGAGAATGCACCAGGAGGGTGTGCCGGTACTCACCTGGCCCCACAGAAGTTCTCCAATCCCAATGAAGAGACACCACAGCCACTGAGACAGGCTGAGGCTTGTACAACTGAAGGGTTTACCCCCAAATTCCACGATGAAAATCTAGAACAGAGAAAGGGGCAGCCCACCATCAAGGAAATGACTAACAGGCAGCTGGCCCTCCAGCCAAGGCCCCCAAAGCCACATCATCCCACTCCTCAGGATCCTTGGGTACAAGTCCCGATTTGCTTGCAGGGGAAGGGAAAAGAAGAAATCTCAAAGGGGAGACAGACAAAAACAGCCTTTAAGAGCACTCTGATGGGGAGACAGACATAGTTACTGTGACTATGATTAACAGACAATCTGGAGGAGTTAGGGGAGCTGGTGGCTTCTTGTGACTAAAGCCAGTTAGTGACAAGGAGAAGGTACAGTGATGGAGTTAGGAACTGAGGATGAGGTGGGAGGATTGCCTGAACCTGGGAGACTGAGGCTGCACTCCCCCTGGGGGAGGGGGGAAAAGAGAGAGAGAGAGAGAGGCAGAGGGAGAGAGAGAGAGAGAGAGAGAGAGAGAGAGAGAGAGAGATATCTGTCTCAAACGAAAAAAAAAAAAACAAAAAGAAAAAATGGCAGGCGTAATAACACTTTGGGAGGCGGGAGGATTGCTTGAGGCCAGGAGTTTGAGACCAGCCTGAGCAACAGAGTGAGACCCCATCTGTATTTTTAAAATTAAAAAAAAAAAAAAAAAGGAATTGAGGATGGGGACAAATAAAGGGAGGTGCCCTGCTGAGGGATGGGACATGATCAGCTCATAGTCTCATATTGGAGGAGTCCAAGCTGGGCTGACTATGTAATATACATGTACAAATCCCATTACTTCTCTTTCTTTGAGTTGCACAACACTTTTTATCATAAGCCCTTCAGAACAAAGGGCAGGGACAGGGAGAGTCTATACTAGATGTGCATGCACATTTCATATAGGCTGACAGGAGCCATAGAAAGGGACTAGAAGAGAATACTTCTTTTGGTCATTCTGTGAAATTTCTGTGTATTTAGAAAGATCATGAAAGGATTTTAGAAGTATTATTTTATTTCCAGTCAACATGCTGCCCTGCACTGGAGCTCTTGACACAATGGGCTCCAATTCTAGAGCAATATGCAAAAGAAAGCAGATTGGGAATCCCAAAGTGTTCAACTTACAGCTCCAGTCCCCGTAATTCCTTCATTCCTTTTCCTAGGTATGTAGGGAACCCTGGCTCCCAGCTTCTGCCCTTTATCATTCCAGATCTCCTGCCCCAACTGCAGATAGAATCTCACCTGGCAGATGAATGTGCCCAAGACTACAGAGCAGAAGATAATGTTGCGGTAGATGCCTGAAAAGACGTTCTTCTCTCCATGGATCTTTCGGGAGTTGATTTCATTGAAGAGCTGCATCAGCACGAAGGTGTTAAAAACAATGGTATAGTGCTGGCTGGGTGGTGAATGTAGAGGTGCCTTCCTCCCACTATCAATATCAAAGAATTTCTCACCTAGTGGGGAGAGGAGAAGCACTGGAGGTTAAGTGTGGTCTGAACTAAGAGTAAGAATGTGTTGGTACAGATATACTGCTTGCTTATGGCTGGTGTCCATTCTAATTAATCAATATCTGAGCTGCACTAGTTATTTATTTTTTTGACACAGGGTCTCACTCTGTCACCCAGGCTGGAGCGCAGTGGCATGATCATGGCTCACTGCAGCCTGGACCTTCCTGCTCAAGTGATCCTTCCATCTCAGCCTCCCAAATAGCTGGGACTACAGGCGTGCACCACCATGCCTGGCTAATTTTTTGTTGTACTAGTTATTAAACATTTTAAATGTTAGTTCTGGTCTTGACTTATTTTACCTTCTCTCTCAGTTTGCTGCATTGATACTTGCTCTCATGTAGTGCAGCATGGTAGTAAGACTATGTGCGCTGGAGTCAGGCAATCATAGGTTTGAATTTTACTGCAACTATGTACTCATTATGGGACCTGAGGTTAATTTTTTGAATCTGTAAAAAAAGAAATAAGCCAGGCGTGGTGGCTCATGCCTGTAATCCCAGCACTCTGGGGGGCTGAGGTGGGCAGATCACAAGGTCAGGAGATCGAGCCCAGCCTGGCCAACATGATGAAACCCCATCTCTACTAAAAATACAAAAAGTAGCCGGGTGTGGTGGCGCATGCCTGTAATCCCAGCTATTTGGGAGGCTGACGCAGGAAAATCACTTGAACCTGGGAGGCAGACGTTGCAGTGACCCGAGTTAGCGCCACTGCACTCCAGCCTGGGTGACAGAGCGAGACTCTGTCTCCAAAAAGAAAAAAAAAAAAAAAAAAAGAAAGAAAGAAATAATAAAGCCTCCCTTGTGAAATTCTTGAGTACACACAGTACACACTGTACTCAAGAGTACTGTATGAGTACATATAGTAGCATAATGCACCGTGTAGCGGGAGCACAGCAAGCACTGGGAGGTGAAGCTGCGCTTATTCCTGACCTGTGCACTTGCTCTCACGCTACCTTCTTTCTCTGCCCCCACCTCCAACCAGGACCCCAGCTGCTACCCACCCCCAAAGTGGCTCACCCGCAAAGACAAGGATAAAGATGACAATGAGCTGATAGAATGCATGGCCCAAGATGTTCTTCATCATAGTGCGTGAGATCAGAGGCTTATTTCGGCCATAGGGGCGCCGCTTCAACAGAGATTCCGTAGGGGGCTCTGTGGCCAGGGCCAATGAAGCAAAAGTGTCCATGATCAGATTAACCCACAACATCTGCACAGCTTTCAATGGGGAATCCTGGCGGGGAGAAGAACCAGTCCTTTTAGCTTTTCTCTGAAACCAGCCCACCTTTGCCCTGTCGATGGCCCAGCTCCCACGACCCACCTAGACTTGGAATCTGGCCACTTCCTAGCTGAGTGACTGTGAGAAAGCTACTTAACTTCCTTGAGCCTCAAGTTCCTCACCCATAAAATGGGGATAATAATACCTACTTCACAAGGTCATTTTTGAAGAATACAGATAGTGCATATAAATGCTTATTACAGTGGCTGACACATAAGTGCTAAGCTAAGGCCTGTAAGTTACCATCTACATAAGCAGATGAAGACAGCAGACTTAGAAGAGCTAACTCCTGTCCCAATGTCATGGGGAAACGCTGTCTTTACTCTTCAGTAAACACACCGTAGTCTTCACTCCATGTTCCTTAGCCCCTGACTCATCCCTCCCGTCTCAGCCCACCCACACCCCCTTCACCTGAGTGATACAGGCTCCAGTGAAGGCTACAATCACGGCCACCACATTGACAGTGAGCTGGAACTGCAGGAACTTGGAGATGCTGTCATAGACATTTCGTCCCCACATCACTGCCTTCACAATGCTGGTGAAGTTGTCATCTGTTAGGATGATGTCTGAAGCCTCCTTTGCTACATCTGTGCCTGCGATGCCCTGAGGTAAGATGGGAGGGAAAACAGTGAGGGAGTGGATAAAGCCCAGGCTCCATTTCCTGACCTCCAGGAAGCTTCCGAAGTCAGTGTAAATACTACAGGGCACACTAGTCACACAAAAGAAAACAAAGAGCAAATGTGTCACTGTCACTCTAGAGAAAGGAGGGCTGCGGCCTGATGCCACCAACCTTACTGTTGAGCTCAGACTGGGAATTACAATCATCTTTGATATCCCTTTCACCCTCCCCTCCTACTCCCTCAACCTTGGAAACTAATTAAAAGGTAGAGAGCAAATCCTGTCTATTCTACCTCCAAATTCTCACATTTCTGTTGCCACTGCCAGTATCTCACTTAAGCCCATGTTATTCCGACACCTTTGAGAAACTCTGCATTTGTTCTAGGAGTAGTAGTATGGCAGCACAGTTCCAAAATTTCATCTTTGTTCAAAATTTTCCTTTTAAGTTAAATTAAAAAAAAATTTGAGACAAGGTCTTGCTTTGTCCAGGCTGGAGTGCAGTGGCAGGATCTCAGCTAAATGCAAGCTCCACATCTGGGGCTCCAATGATCCTCCCACCTTGGCCTCCTGAGTAACGGGACTACAGGCATTTGCTCACCCTGCTTGGTTAATTTTTAAATTTTTTGTAGACATGGGGGTCTCTCTATATCGCCCAGCTTTATAATTACTATTATGAAATAATCTCTAAGTTATGTTGGTAAGTGAAGAAAGAAAGGTAGAAAAATGAGTTGATGGTATGGTATCACTTATCTAAGGGGGCAGGCCATGAATATATTACATTTATTTATTTATTTATTTATTTATTTATTTATAGTTTTTGAGACAGAGTCTCCCTCTGTTGCCCAGGCTGGACAGCAGTGGTGTGATCTCAGCTCACTGCTACCTCTGACTCCTGGGTTCAAGCGAGTCTCCTCTCCTGCCTCAGCCTCCTGAGTGGCTGGGATTACAGGGACGCACCACCATGACGGGCTAATTTTGTATTTTTAGTAGAGATAGGGGTTTCATCATGTTGGCCAGGCTGGTCTTGAACTCCTGACCTCAGGTGATCCACCTGCCTTGGCCTCCCAAAGTGCTGGGATTATAGTCATGTGCCACCGTGCCCAGACTGCATTTGATTATACTTTAAAGGAGCAAACAGAAGAATACACCAAAAACGACAGAAAAAAATTACCTATTGAATTAAGAGGGAAGCAGCAAGGCAAAGGCAATGAGGGTGGAAGCCGGATTTGTATGAATATACCTTGTTTTGTACATTTGACTTTAGAACCATGTATTTTATCTCTCTTGCTTTTTTTTTTTTTTTTTTTTCGAGACAGGGTCTTGCTCTGTCATCTAGGCTGGAGTGCAGAGGTGTGATCTTGGCTCACTGCAGCCTTGAATTCTTGGGCTCAAGCAATCCTCCCACCTCAGCCTCCTGAGTAGCTGGGACGACAGGTGTGTGCCAGCACACTTGGCTAATTTTTTATTTTTTTTAGAGATGGGAGTCTCACTATATTGTCCAGGCTGGTCTCGAAATCCTGGCTTCTAGTGCTCCTTCTCCCTTGGCCTCCCAAAGTGTTGCGATTGATTACGGGTGTGAGCCACCACACTGGCCTAAAAAGCAATCTCCAAAACGGAAAGTAACATGATATAAATGATCTGGTAGCCACTTGGTAGCACAACTGCACACACACAGACAAATGTTACAAATGACTTAAAAACAATAATTTGATGGCACATTCCTGGTAGCATATACCTATGGATAAAAGGAACTATGAGAAAAATATTTAATTGTTTTTGGCAGAGTAACTGTATTATTAATATTATTGATATTTTGTAACTACTTGAAATATTTTAGAATAAAACAAAAAATAATCATGTTAATGCAATTAGGAATCAAAATTTTCAGCTTAAGGGATACAAACATAAAATCAGGGAAGTTAAATACAATTAGAAGCTGGGTGTGGTGGCTCATGCCTGTAATCCCAGCATTTTGGGAGGCCAAGGTGGGCAGATCACTTGAGGGTAGGAGTTTGAGACCACTCTGGCCAAAATGGCGAAACTCCATCTCTACTAAAAAATACAAAAATTAGCAGGGTGTGGTGGCACACGCCTGTAATCCCAGCTACTCAGGACGCTGAAGCAGGAGAACTGCTTGTACCTGGGAGGCAGAGGTTGCAGTGAGCCAAGATCATGCCACTGCACTCCAGCCTGGGCGACAGAGTGAGACTGTGTCTCAAAATAAATAACTAAATAAAATAAAATAAAATAAAATAAAATAAAATAAAATTAGAAAGTTATAAATCAGGAAGTTAGACATCTATAATTCTTTAAAAAATTATTATTTCTTCTAAAAGTGGAATAAAAAATATGTAATTCTAAAAGTAAATGAAAAACAGAAATATGAATTCACGAAGTATTTTCTCTTTGTGAGCAAACACAAAACAAACACAAAAGCAAGTGAGACTTAAGAGCATACTTCTTAGCTTTGTCCACTGAAAAGGCTTAGAAACAAAGATCTACTCAGTAGCAAGGAACACCTTTGAGTTCCAATTGTGTTCTCTAGTGCTCCTTCCCCCTTGGCCTCCCAAAGTGTTGGGAGGCCGTTTCAGGCCGGGCGCGGTGGCTCACCCCTGTAATCACAGCACTTTGGGAGGTTGAGGTAGGTGGATCACTTGCGGTCAGGAGTTTGAGACCAGCCTGGCCAACATGGTGAAACCCCATCTCTACTAAAAATACAAAAAATTAGCCAGGCTTGGTGGCAGCTGCCTGTAATCCCAGCTAACTCAGGAGGCTGAGGCAGGAGAATTGTTTGAACCTGGGAAGTGGAGGTTGCAGTGAGCCGAGACTGCCCCACTGCACTCCAGCCTGGGTGACAGAGCAAGGCCCCGTCTCATAAATAAATAAATAAATAAATAAATAAATAAAATAAATACCATTTCACATTAAAATGAAGCAGGAATCCTTGGAGAAATGGACTATCTCCTATCCAGGATAAAAAAGAACGAAAAAACCAAGAATAAACCAAGAAAGCTATTAAAAACAACTGGGGTTGTATCTAAAGGACTCAGCAATGTTGAAGAGGCCTCTTCTGCCTAATGGTGGATCACTTTGAGCATCAAAACCATACTAAGAGCAGTGGATTGAAACACATCAAATATACTTAAATCTATGAATTCGTAATGATACTTAAAAAAAAATCCACTCATTGGTCACCTTTGGAGGTTCCTAAAAAGTCAACTCATCATTTTAAAAAAAACCAGTAATTAAAAAACAAACCAAAAACCTACCTTTCAGGTAGGATTGGAACCTCAGAGTAATCAAATAGTCAATGAGGGGGAATCTCTTTTGTTTTTTGAGATGGAGTCTAGCTTTGTCACCCAGGCTGGAATGCAGAGGCGTGATCTTGGCTCACTGCAACCTCTGCCTCCCGGGTTCAAGTGATTCTCCTGCCTCAGCCTCCCAAGTAGCTGGGATTACAGGCGCCCGCCATCATGCCCAGCTAATTTTTGTGTTTTTAGTAGAGACGGGTTTCACTGTTTTGGCCAGGCTGGTCTTGAACTCCTGACCTCGTGATCTGCCTGCCTCAGCCTCCCAAAGTGCTGGGATTACAAGCACGAGCCACTACGCCCGGCCGGGAATCTCTTTTTATGTAAGTATTTAAGTTAATAAATAAAGAATTACAATATTGTCATTTTGCAGCCCTCAATGAAAGAAAGGGTCTAGAATCTGATAACTTCTAGAACCAACTACTTGCTTATAGGAAATATAAGGAAGAAAATAATACGTTAAAGGAAATCACAGTGAAATAATCAACAAAATCTATACTGAGGGATAGTCTCTGCAGACAAACAACCCACTTCCTTCAAAACTAAGTTGCTAGGAAAAAAGATGGAGGGGGATTGTGCAAAAGAGAGTTAACACAGCAGGCCTGAGACGACTGTCCTTAGGAAGGAATGCTTGCAGGGTGGGCCCTTGGCTGGCTTCTGGGAAATGGGCTCTCAGAATGCTTGCCCTCAACAACTAACTGATAAAGGTGGCTCATTGTGTCTAGACTGTGTCCGAACAATGTGGTTTACATTGAACATTTGCTTTCCTTTTGGGAGTCTGGAATTTTGGTATGTGCTAGGCAGAAGGTGCCTATGTGACCAGCCTCAAGAAAAACCTTGGGTACTAAGTCCATGATGGGCTTCCCTAGGCAGAACATCACACATATATTTCTGTGTTTTCATTAGTGGGGAAAGAATGGACTCTGTTTGACTCCTCATGGGAGGGAGAGCATAAGAAAGACTGCAAATAGATTTATCCAGATTCTGCCATTGTCTTTTTCTTTTATGATCCAACTGTATTCTTACTACATCACTGTTATGAATCTTAGTCATGAGTACAACTATATGCCAAGTCCCATGAGTCCTCCTAGCAACCCCATGAATATAGGGGTGTTTTTGGGGACTCCCAACATAGAGATCCTATAAGATCAGTGATTCTTAAAGTTTAGGGTACATAGAATCACTGAGAGAGCCTGTCAAAACACATTTAACAGATTTAACATAATTAATTAAGATTTCTGGGCCCCAGTTCCCGGCTTTCCAATTCAGTAAATCTGGGGTGGGGCCTGAGTGGGTGAATCTGCATTCTATGGGTTTGTATAGAAACCTACTATACAGCTAGTACAGCTACTGGTACAGCTGGAAGGAGGCGCACTCCAAGAGATAGGTTAAGAGACTTAACAGATGTATCAAATAACTGCAAGTTATGGATCTTATCTGAATCCTGATTTGGGCAAATAAACTATAAAAACATTTGAGTCAGTTAGGAAAATGTGAACAAACTAGAAATTTCATGATAGTAAGGAAGCATCGATTTTGTTCTGAGATAATGGTATTAAGATTCTTTTAGATATATAGATTATTGATATATAATTATTATTTAGAGGCATATAATGAAATTTTTTTTTTTGCCCCACACCATCCCCCCATATAATGAAAAGAAAATTTTTTTTGAGACGGAATCTTGCTCTGTCACCCAGGCTGGGGTGCAGTGGTGCTAACTCGGCTCATCGTAACCTCTGCCTCCCAGGTTCAAGTGATTCTCCTGCCTCAGCCTCCGGAGTAGCTAGGATTACAGGCGCCTACCATCATGCCCAGCTAATTTTTGTATTTTTAGTAGAGCTGGGGTTTCACCATGCTGGCTAGACTGGTCTCGAACTCCTGACCTCAGGCGATCTGCCCGCCTCAGAGTAATCAAATAGTCAATGAGGGGGAATCTCTTTTGTTTTTTGAGACAGAGTCTAGCTTTGTCACCCAGGCTGGAGTGCAGTGGCGTGATCTTGGCTCGCTGCAACCTCTGCCTCCCGGGTTCAAGTGATTCTCCTACCTCAGCCTCCCGAGTAGCTGGGATTACAGGTGTGAGCCACTGCACCCGGCCATGAAATTTTTAAGGATGAAATTACATGATGCCTTGCATTTGCTTCAAAAACAATTCAGCTGAAGACTGGGGATGTAAATGGGGGGGAATCACTGAAACAAGATTGGCCATGTGTTGATCATAGTTGAAGCTGAGTGACAGGTACCTGTCAATTCTCCCTATTTTTGCATATTCTTGAAATTTCCTAGAATAAAACCCTTAAAAAAAAGAGTTCTCTAAAGATAGATGACTTCTTAAATGTCCTTCCACTGCTAAAAATCACCAACAGTTCAATCTGTATGGGAGGCTTATAATCATAAACTACTTGAGTGTGAGGATAGAATCTGGGGGGCTTCTAAACCTTTCTGAACATCAGAATTAACTGGTGTGCCTGTTAAAAAAAAATTCTGGTATTCATCCCAGACCTACTGAATTAAGACGTCTAACTGTGGAGCCTTGGAACATGTGATTTCACATGAACTTTCCAAGTGATTCTGATGCTCTTGGCCTCAGAAGTGAAAAGCGGAATACCCAATGGTGCCAGCCACACAGAGCGCCTACCATAGGGAACACAAATCTTCTAGAGTTTGCCTAGTTGACAACCTCACATGTTTATAGGCAAGTTTATGTTGGTCTGGCTTTCCTGCATATGATTCTTCATGACTTCCCTCCCTCTTATCTATTCTTCATACTTGATGGGTCCCCAGTTACATATATCATGATTGGCCCGGTAGATAGGAGAGATGGAGTTGGACAAAAAAGCACCCCATGGGCTATGCAGGTGTAGCAAGCAGCAGGCAACCAGAAGCCGGACCTGGCTTCCTGATGGAGAAGGCAGCTTGCAATCAGAGAGACACTGTGCTGAGCTTACCATGGCAAAACCAACATCCGCTTTCTTCAGAGCAGGCCCGTCATTTGTGCCATCACCAGTGACAGCCACGACCTGCCGGTGTTCCCCAACAGTGCTGTCAATTATGCCTGGGAGAAACAGACACACCACAGTGAGCTTTTCTGGTCTCCCCCACCCTTCAGTTCCTACCACCCGCCACTCCTTCTACTTTCTTCTTTCCTTCCCTTTTCCCTTTCCTAGAAGTTCTACAGGAACCACCTAAGGGCAGTAAGTTGTTTCATGAGTAGCACTGAACTAAGTTTGTCCTCATCCGGTACCCTAAGACAGCTATGAAGAACACATAGGATGGATTTCAAGGCAGAGACCTAGGGGTCAAACTGCACCATTTCCACGTACCAGCTGGGTAATTTGGGTAAGTTACTTGTCTTCTCAGCCTCAAACTTCCTCATTTGTAAAATGGGAATACCTGCCCTGCCTAGTTCACAGTACTATTGGTAAATAAGACATGATCATGTTTTTAAGAACCCATGCAATTGCCAGGTGCGGTGGCTCACGGCTCTAATCCCAACACTTTGGGAGGCCGAGGTGGGCGGATCACCTGGGGTCAGGAGTTCGAGACCAGCCTGGTCAACATGGTGAAACCTTGTCTCTACTAAGAATACAAAAATTAATCAGGCATGGTGGCATGCGCCTGTAGTCCCAGCTACTCGGGAGGCTGAGGCAGGAGAATCACTTGAACTCACGAGGCGGAGGTTGCAGTGAGCTGAGATTGCACCACTCCACTCCTGCCTGGGTGACAGAGCAAGACTCGGTCTCCAAAAATAAAAACAAAAAATAAAAAAAATAAAAACCCAACAACTTTATTGTGTGTCATACTCACCAAGGGCTCAGATGTTTGCTAACTGTATGTTCTCCCCACTAGCCTGGGAGCTCTCCTAGGACCTCCCTATTTGGACAGGAGAGTGGCTTTGGCTGGTGGTTCTTATCTGTCCTCGCCCTGGCCTGCCTTCAGCTGTTGCAGGCACCTATTTGGAAGCCAACCTCACCTTTCACCAGGGTGTGCTTGTCAGTGGGAGAAGATCGCGCCAGGACCCGAAGCTTAGGCCAGATCTTGTCCAGCTTTTCTTGCTCTACCTGCCAACACCAGACCACACCTGGATCAGTCAAATGCAGAAAAGCTATCCAGGAAAATCTTAACTTCTCCATACACTTGGAGTCACTGGGAGATTGGGTACACCACAGTCCCACATGAAAGTGTTATTCTGGATTAAGCAGAGATGAAACAGCCAACCAGTCTCCAAGGGTAGATTCATGGATGATGACCATTCAGGCCCTGCTTTTTTTCTTTTTCCTCCCAAGTCCCTACCTGGCAGCCAATCCCCCATTTCCCAGACCTTTAATGGGAGGTGGGCCAGGGTTGGCTGTTGGCTCGGGTGGGTAAAGTGGTGCTTCTGAGGTCTTAGGTTTGATTTCTATGTAGCTCAGGAAAGCTTGGATCTGTGCCACCGCCAGACCACATTCTCCTTTAGCCACTGTTAGCCAAAGGGCAGGGACACAGGAGGGGTGGGCTAGGGGGAAGTCAGTATAAAAAACTGAAAAAGCAGAAAGACAAGAAAAGTTAGTGACACTGTCTCAAAAGATAGCTTGTGAATGAAGCTAGCAAGCTTCATTCACAAGCAACTCCCCCCCTCTTTTTTTTTTCTTTTTTGAGACGGAGTCTTGCTCTGTTGCCCAGGCTGGAGTGCAGTGGCATGATCTTGGCTCACTGCACCCTCCGCCTCCCAGGTTCAAGTGATTCTCCTGCCTCAGCCTCCCCAGTAGCTGGGACTACAGGTGCACGCCACCATGCCCAGCTAATTTTTGTATTTTTGGTAGAGACGGGGTTTCACCATGTTGGCCAGGATGGTCTCTATCTCTTGACCTTGTGATCCACCCGCCGTGGCCTCCCAAAGTGCTGGAATTACAGGAGTAAGCTACCGCGCCCAGCCGGCAACTCCCAATGTTACCATATCAGCAGTTTGGTACAAGGAGATGTTTCACTACGAATAGCTTTCACTTTAGAAACCACCCACCTTCCCGCACATGACCCAGATGCCTTATGCTAGAACCCGCCTTTTCCTTGTCAGGTGAGGTCCTGGTTCCCCCTAGCCAGGACCCACCTCGCCTTTCTCGTTGCGGATGAGCCGGTTGAATTCTTTGCCTTCTAAGCACAGGAAGTCATCCCCAGGTGTCAGAATGCCACATTTGGTGGCAATGGCCCGGGCTGTGTTGATGTTGTCACCTGTCACCATTCTGACAGTAATGCCAGCTTGTTTGCATTTGGCAATAGCATCTGGCACCTATGGAGAGTGAAGAAAGGGGAAAGGCGCAGATGAGGGTGATGACCCTGGTAAGCTGTCCCTGTTTGTCTGTCCCTTTGTGGCAGACAGGAGAAAGGCACCCTAGAAGTGGTGCCATGCAGCATGGGCTAGGTCTGGTCATTTTGATACTGTTGGGTGCCACCTCACTTCTGTCCTACCCACGGCAGTCACATTTGAATTTGCCCTATTGTACCATGAGTTGAAGGGGAAATTTGCTTTGGGAGTGAGGTGTAAAAACTTGCTCTTTCACTTACAATTGAGACTTCTCGGCAGGGCATGAATGGCATTTTGCGATTTGGCCAGTGCTTTCTTTTCTAGCAGAAGCTTTTGCCACTCTCCACCCACCTGGCCCATGTTCCAACCATATCAGCTCTTTGTAATTTCCCACATGCATGACACCCTCTCATGCCTCTGGGCCTTGAGAATTAATAGTCCATCTGTCTAAACTTCTTAGAAGCAGAGACTTTTCAATCCCCTAGTGTCTAGAATAGTTATCAGCACACAGCAGGTACTCAAAAAGAATGTGTTGATTGAAAGGAGGGAGCTAAAGACAAAGTTGGTGTCCTGGCTAAATTGACCTCCTGACAACACTTAAGTACCAAATAATGAGCCCAATAAGCCCTTTGCTTCTCAACACTCAGACAGCATTAGTCCTAGGAATGCCACATTCGATCATACTGGCACTCCACAGCAGTCCTGTGAAGCAGGAAGCACAGAAACTTCTATCCCTCTAAGTGAGAGGCAGTTAGGTTACCTGCCTGGGGTCACAACTAGAAAGGGAACTAGTACCCCACTTCCTGAGACTCCTGGGTGGCTTCCCACCCTCTCACCTCTGGGCGCACAGGGTCCTCAATGCCCACCACCGCGATACAGGTCAGTTCGGTGAGGATCTCATTCTCATTGTCCCAAGAGGGCTCTGTGTCATCGAAGTCCCGGTAAGCTATGCAGATAGTCCGGAGTCCATCACAGGCCATGGGCTCGATGACAGTGCGTACCATATCATCTCTGTCTTTATTCTTGAATGGCACTGCTTCCCCTTTCCGGTCCAGGATTCGATTACACCTGGGGAGGCGCACAGTAAGAACGCGGTGTCTCCCTTCCCACTCAATACGTTTCTACAATCATTGACAGGTATTTTGGCAACTCTGTATTATTCCTAAAGACATTGCTCCAAGTGTGGCCAAACATTTCCTTCATTCATCACCCAGCTGAGTCCCTCTTTCCAAGGTAGGTGGGCTGTGGATGGAGTTAAGGTCTAGATATATAGAGAGTGGGATTCTCCCATGTCATCTGTTCTTACCCATATGTGAATGCAATGCAAGTCATTTGTGAATCACCTGCTCTTTTGAACTTCTTGAAGGCAGAGAGACTTTTTCAATCCGAGTATTTAGAATAGTGCTCACTGTGTGGTGCTGGTGGTTTGGGGGAGGTTTCCTATACAAGAATGTGCTGATTAAAAGAAGGTGGCTAAAGCCATGTTGGAGCACTGGTTAATTCAGCCCTACTTAGGTATAGTGCCAACTTTTGATGAACTATGGGTAATTTATTAATAGTCACTTTTTTTTTTTTGTAATGGAGTCTCACTCTGTCACCCAGGCTGGAGTGCAGTGGTGCGATCTCAGCTCACTGCAACCTCTGCCTTCTGGGTTCAAGCGATTCTCCTGCCTCAGCCTCCTGAGTAGCTGGGATTACAGGCACGCACCACCATGCCTGGCTAATTTTTGTATTTTTTTTTAGTAGAGACAGGGTTTCACCATGTTGGTCGGGCTGGTTTCGAACTCCTGACCTCGTGTTCTGCCTGCCTCGGCCTCCCAAAGTGCTGGGATTACAGGCGTGAGCCACTGCGCCTGGCCGAATAGTCACTTTTAAAGTTATGTAAATTCCCTGTAATCAGAAATGGGAATGGGAAGGAAAGAGAAGGAAAAGAGAACACAGAACAAACGTTTCTAGTACTTGTTATGTATAAGGCATTTTACATACATTGAATCATTTAGTTACAGTGAGGGGGTAGTACTTTTAGGAGCTGAGTATGGCTATCTCTGTTTTCAGATTAGGAAATGGAAACTTAGGATCGTCCAGGTCTGAATCCTGGCTGTGCCACTATTAGCTGTATCACCTTGAGTGAGATACTTAACTTCCTTATATCTCTGTTTTCTCATCTGTAAAACAGGGATAATCATAGTACCCACCTTACTGAGTTGTGAGGATTAAATACAACAAGCCACCTTAAGCACTTAAAAAACATGCGTGGCCTGAGTAGACGCTTGGATATTAGTTATTATGTCACCACCTGGCTGGAGGGCTCCCTCATTCACATGGGTTCAGTGTGGGGTGTGCACCCATGCCTTCCTGAGGAGAGGATCTTGAAGGGAAGCAGAGTGGTCGGGGGTGCTCACTTGCGCAAGATGATCTCAGAGGCGCCCTTGCTGTACATACGGAAGCCACCGTTGGGATTCCTGATGACGGTGCTCATTGACTTGCGCACTGAGTTAAAGGTGTACACCTTGTAGAGCTTCTCCTCGGGCACTTCATTACGCACAGCCTGATAATCCTGCTTCAGATCTGTGACAAAGCCTAGCAGAGCACACTCGGTCTTGTTGCCCACCTGCCGAGGCAGGCCTCCCTCCTTCTCTGGAGGCTGGGAGAAGAAATATACACAGCACTATTGAGTAAGATGCCTTGACAAGGCAGAGAACTTAGGGAGAAAGAACTCATTTACAAAGCCTTCACATTATATACCTGGAGCTCATAGGGGAAATAACATTTTTTTTTTTCTTTTTTGGAGATGGAGTCTCGCTCTGTTGCCCAGCCTGGAGTGCAGTGGCACGACCTTGGCTCACTGCAACCTCCACCTCCCAGGTTCAAGTGATTCTTCTGCCTCAGCCTCCTGAGTAGCAGGGACTACAGGTACCTGCCACCATGCCTAGCTAATTTTTGTATTTTTAGTAGAGACCGGGTTTCACCATGTTGGCCAGGCTGGTCTTGAACTCCTGACCTCAGGTGATCTGCCCACCTCAACCTCCCAAAATGTTGGGATTACAGGCATGAGCCACAGCACCTGGCATCTTTTTTCTTTTTCTTTTTGACATAGCACCTTGCTCTGTTGCCCAGGCTTGACTGCAGTGGTGTGATCTCAGCTCACTGCAGACTTGACCTCTTAGGCTCAAGTGATCCTCCCACCTCAGCTTCTGGAGTAGCTGGGACTACAGGTGCGCAACCATGCCTGGCTAATTTTGTTTATTTTTGTAGAGATGAGGTCTCACAATATTGCTCAGGCTGGTCTCGAACTCCTGGGCTCAAGCGATCTTACCATTTTGGCTTCCCAAAGTGCTGGGATTACAGAAGTGAGCCACTATGCCTAGCCTGTTGTTTTTCAAGGGTAGGCAGAGAGGGGTCAGTGGTAACCGTGATCCTTGTGCCATCCAGGGCTTAGGGATTTTGTAGTTTGCTCTAGTGGTAGTGCTGGTGTCTCGCCTTGTGTGGGTCTTATTCTAATACACTATGCTTGTTTCTAGAAAGTGAGTAATTTACTTCTGATAAGCCCAATTCTACTTTGGGTTACTTTCTACTTTCCCTCCTTAGAGACATTGCTTTTACATGCTAATTGGGAGGGTATTTCCTGGCCATAGATTCTTACAGGCCCTTACCTCCAACCCTCCATTGACTCCCAGGGATTTTTCTGTAGTCTCACCCAAACATGTTCACTCCAGCGTGAGAAATGGGATGTGGGATGGCAATTTAGGCAGTGTAAACAATAAGGGGGTTCATTTCAGAGAAAATGGATGTTCCCTTCCAACCACCCACTCTAAGTGTCTACGCAAAGGAAATGCTTACCAGAATCTTGGAGGTATAAGCACTGTTGATAGAAATGCCATTGACAATGAGGTCCAGGACTTTGGGCAGGAAGACATCAGGGCTTGGGATTTGACGGTAATGGATGCCCCCAATATAAGCTTGTACCACAGTCATGCGGTTCATGGTCAACGTGCCTGTCTTATCAGAGCAGATGGCGGTGGCGTTGCCCATGGTCTCACAAGCATCCAAGTGCCGTACTAGGTTATTGTCTTTCATCATTTTCTACAAAGGAGAAGAGAAAAGACTTGAGAGGGGGACTAACTGGACTCTCCTAAATCTAGGTCAAAGGCCATTTCCTAGCCAACATCTCTCCACATTTCATCTTCCAGTCCCACACAAAAATCCAAGATACTGACTGGGTGCAGTGATTCATGCCTGTAATTTCAGTACTTCGGGAGGCTGAGACGGGCAGATCACCTGAGGTCAGAAGTTCAAGACCAGCCTGGCCAACATGGTGAAACCCTGTCTCTGTAAAAGATACAAAAAGTAACTGGGCATGGTGGTGCACACCTGTAATCCCAGCTACTTGGGAGGCTGAGGCACGAGAATCACTTGAACCCGGGAGGCGGAGGTTGCATCATTGCATTCCAGCCTGGGTGACAGAATGAGACTCTGTCTTAAAAAAAAAAAAAAATCCAAGATACCATTTTTGTCATTCTCTTAAGATTCTGCTGGGTCATTTCAACATTGATGCATCTGACAGAGATGGTCCTTCCATAATACCAGGGACTTCTGCTCTTGTGAGGCACCAGCCAAAGTTTATAGATGATAGAATGGCTTATCTTTTCACTAAAGGTTACATGGTACCCTTCTCTCCCATCTCTATCCTAAAGGAAGAGATAGGATTGTTCTAGTCTCACCTTCACAGAGTAGGCCAGTGAGATGGTGACAGCCAGAGGCAGCCCCTCTGGCACAGCCACCACCAGTACAGTGATGCCGATGATGAAGAACTTGACAAAGTACTGGATGTAGATGGGAGTACACTCAGGGAGCCATGGTCTGCGATTTATCACAAAGTTGTCAATCACAAAGTATAGAATCAGGATGAAAACCGTGAGAGCAGACATGAGCAGACCTGTCCAGAGAAACAAGTCATATGAACCCAGGCTGGAGGGCAGTCCTAGGGCCCTAGCCAGAGATAGATTGGCATCAGTTGTAGCCTTTGTTGCCAATTATTAAAACCACCATCGCCAGGAAGACTTACTAAAATCCCCCCCATTCTCTGTTGCTTGTACATTATAGCATAGGGAACAGACAGTGGTTTCGTATTTCAAAGACACAGGTTCTATTCTCAGCACTGCACTAACTTGACTTGTGGCTTTGGACAAGTCATTGACCCTCTCTGGGCCTGTTTCCTAGATCAAATTCCTCATTCATAAATCAGGGGGTTGATCTGTTTCCTGAAACAGCTTTCTATGATCCTATTCCACGCCCACCCTCTCCCTGCGATTCATAATGTCATGACTGTACTTGTCCATTTCATAGTAGTTTATCAATTTTGACTTCTCCTCTACTAACCTCTGAATGTTGGACAATTCACACCTTGTTTACAACAATGCCTCTATGGTGCTAGTGTATCACCTGCATGACTAACTCTTAGAACAGTGCTTCCCAAGATTTCTCTTGTCACGGCACACATAGAAGATGCCAATAATAGTAAATACTTATGTGGGCACCTGCTGTGGGCCAGGCAAGCACTTCACAACCCTGTGAAATAGGTCATTATTATTACCGCCTTTTTAAAGATGAGGAAATGAAAGTACTGGGAAGTCTTTGGTATGGCCCATTGGTAGAGTAACCAAACCATCCTGAGACTACTGAACAGTTTCCAGGGATGTGGGGCTTTGCTAAAATTGAGAAAATCCCAAGCAAACTGGGATGGTTGGTTACCCTACACATTACAGTACGTGAAAGAATCTGCTCAAGGTCAAAACCGACTGGCTTAGGGGTTCTGATTGCCATGGGTGCTGCCTGGATGCTTTGAGGGCTGATGGAATCAATATCTGGGGACAACTGTCCCTAACTGTGGCACAATATTTGGGAAAAGCTCTGCTTTAAATCATTATCTGGTTTTGGTTTTTGCTTTTCCCAAGGGCCTGATGATTCGGGGGCCTCCAAGCAAGGCTAGAGATGATGATATCAATGAAAGCAAATTCTTCCGTTCTTTGCTTGATTAGGGCCAGGACTCAGGTGGAGAAGCAAGCCACTGAGAGTGCAAAATTTAAGGAACTCACTCTCCAGGTGGTGGAAAGCATCTGACTTGCCTCACCCTATTCCTGGACTGGCCTAATATATAAAATAAAGCAACAGAGGAGACTAGTGGCCAGCCATCAGGTAGCTTGTACTCTGTAAGAAGAACAAGGCAGGGGACAGGTACAGTGGCTCACGCCTATAATCCCAGCACTTTGGGAGGCTGAGGCCGGCAGATCACTTGAGGCCATGGGATTCCTTGAGTCCAGGGGCAGATCACTTGAGGATAGGAGTTTGAGACTAGCCTGCCCAAAATGGCAAAAATCTGTCTTTACTAAAAATTAGCCAGGCATGGTGATGCACATCTGTAATCCCAGCTACTCGGGAGACTCACTTGAACCCCGGAGGTGGAGGTTGCAGTGAGCCAAGATTGCATCACTGCACTCCAGCTTGGGTGACAGAGTGAGACTTTGTCTCAAAAACAAACAAACAACAACAACAACAAGGCAAGGATTAGGAGAATAGTACAAGGGTTAGGTGGGGTAGATTTAATGTTTCAAACCTGTGTGTTTGATTCTGCACCTGCAATTCATCTCATCCATGTATAGTTTATATGCAAGAGATTTCACAGTAGTTAAAATTAGCTGGGTACCAGAATGGACATGAAGAGGTTAGGCCAACTCAGTCCAATAGATCTTTCTGTGACGCTTAAGAAGTTCTCTATTTATGCTGTCCAATATGACAGCCACTACTAGCACATGTGGCTCGTGACCAACTAAAATTTACCCCAGCAACTGGATTTTTAACTTTATTTACTTTTAATTAATTTAAATTGCAGCAGCCACATGTGGTGAGTGGCTGCTATGGTGGGCAGCATAGATCCCTGCCATCCAATGTGTGCAAACTGAATCAGCGGTGCTGGCATCCTGTGGGGGCTTATTAGGAATGCAGAATCTCGGGCTCCACACCAGACCCCCTGAACTGAATCTACACTTTAACAAGAACCCGAGGTAAGTTGTATACAGCTGTATAAAGTGCAGAGATGTGCTGATTATGATTGTGGTAAACAGAAAGGTGGAATCAGAGAATAAACAGTGGTAAAAAACTACTCTCTGGCAGGGTGCGGTGGCTTATGCCTGTATCCTAGCACTTTGAGAGGCCGAGGTGGGCGGATCACTTGAGACCAGGAGTTCGAGACCAGCCTGGCCAACATGGTGAAACCCCATCTCTACTAAAAATACAAGAATTAGATGGGCTTGGTGGTGTGCACCTGTAGTCCCTGCTACTTGGGTGGCTGAGGCAGGAAAGTCGCTTGAACCCAGGAGGTAGAGTCTGCAGTGAGCTGAGATGGTGCCACTGCACTCCATCCTGGGCAACAGAGGAAGACGCCATCTCAAAAAAAAAAAAAAAAAAAAAAAAAAAAAAAGACTGTTCCTTGAGAGATATGTCCACTAAAGTAGCAATCTTCTATTTCTTCTTCCCACTCCCCTTTCTCCCCCTCCATTGAAAGAAGGTGGTGAGACAGGAAAATGTAGAGGCAAGTGATGGAGAAGCCACTTCCTCATATGCAGAGTGCATTATTTAGTTACCTCTCTTCTGGAGAGAGCCTCTGTAACCACAGCCTTCCTTCTTCCTCCAGTCCTTACTTGGTATTTATTGCTCTGTGCTTAGCCAGATCCTACTCCTATGCTAGAGAATTGCCTGTAGCAAGCTGCAGCCTTCTCTATCTTTAAGGAATTTACAACCCAAAGCAAGAGACAGGTAAGCAGTTATTAAAGTCTTCCTTCTTGCTAATGTAAATCTCCCCTGCTGTAATATATGCTCTTTGTTTCTCATTCATTTGGATTAAGAGATCTCAGGGCCATTAACCCTTACACACAGGAAAACATTTCTCTCTGAAAAAGCCTAGGGAGCGACCAAACAGTGGCGGAGATAGGGAAACAGCCGCCTAGCCCCAACTAGCCACCCTGAAGTTTCAGCTTCTTTCTGCCAGTCTCGGTCGGTGCAGAAAGAAGGGGATAAAAGTGATGAGGATCCAAGACAACATTGATAAACCACAACGAGGCTCTACCCTACTCACCGGCTTTCCCAATCTGAACAGCCAGGCGAGTCAGCTTGCCCTGCAGCACTGACTTCTCCTTTTTAGGCACCTTGACTGCCTTCTTGTCCTTTTCCTCATTGTCGATTCCCTCCTGGCTGTTGAGTGGCTGGATTTCCAGGGCCACTCCGTCTTGGGTCTTTGCTGGAGTGTACACACAAATAGGACAGGTGAGCAGGCAAGGTGGTAGCACTGAGTGGCAGGCAGGTGGAAACCAGAAAACCTTCCTGTCTCTTTCCCGGAATATACCTTGGACCCTGACATCAGTTCCGACCACTTCCAACCCATGCTAGACATGGAACTTGCCTTCAACACTCTATTAGGGCCTTTGGAATAATATTCTAATGAGTTTAGATGAAACTGGGGTGCTTTTAGGGTATGGATTTCTTCTTCAGTGGCAGCTTCCTGGTACTACCTCAGAGTCCCAAGCTAGGTTTATTCCAGCAAGGGGATTAATCATGTCACTAAGCACTATTAAAACAACCATCCTTCCTGGAACTCAGTGCTTAAAATAGTGAATCTTTACTGCAGAAAGGGGCTGAAGGAGAGGGTTGGCAGATGTTTCTGGAGCACAAGATTGCTCTGTTAAATGGTTTATCTCTCTCTCTCTCTCTCTCTCTCTCTCTCTCTCGATTGTCAGGGAAGAAACACATACCCCCAGACCCAGGGTATTTTCCAGCCCCTTCTAGCAGTTGAGGATAGGAAAAGAAAATTCCCTTTCTTCCCTGCCTGACAAAGGTAGAGAGATACAGAGTGGGACCTGGGGTTAAGTCTTTTGGGGAAGAGGGAAGAAGCTGGTGTGAGGGACCTCCTGGAATAAGAGAAAGCAGGGATAAAGAGAGACATATAAATCCATTTTGCTTTTAAAAGAAGAGTTAAAGACCTAAAATTAAAGAATTATTTCTGTTTAGCTCTGGTTTTCCAATGTGATGACTTTATTTCTAAAGACTGCTGTGATGTGGGTTACAAAGTAAAAACAAATCTCTAGGAGCGTCACAAGACAGTAGTTCTTGCTGGCTCCCAGCACCACTCCACTTTCACTGCTATAGGGCTCAGCCCCTTGCTTAGGATACCCTTCCTGAGTAGTCCCTGCTGTCAGACTCACAAACAAGAAGACGGAGACAGAATGTGAACACAGTCACCAAAAGAGACACACACATCAGATCAGGAGGAAGAAAACAGACTGTGGCAAGAACAAAGAAGGGAGGTGGGGAGAGAGATACAGAGAAAGGGCTCTCTCCAAGCACCCCTGAGAAGACCAGCAGAGAAGGGATCCAGACCAGAAGAGGACACTTATGAGGAAGCTAGCAAGAGGACGGTGCAGGGACTACCCACCCCACCTCCCTCCACCATGAGGACCCTGAAGTCTTCCAACCCAGAAACTGATGACTGTTGGTGTTTAAATCAGGCTGAGGTCAATGAAGCAGAGTTCAGCTCCCTAGGAAGAGCAGATCAATCCTACACACTCCCCAAGACAAACCTTGACATGACATTCTGTGAGCCAACAGCAGAGGGTGCTGTTGTCCCATCTTAGATTGGGATCAGGACCTTGAGACCACCCCAAAAATCTCTGCACCTTCCTCAGGATGAGGCATCTGAGCCACAGCAGCAGATAACAGATTTATGGAGAGGAAAAGGGAGAAGGAAGATGGCCTGGAAAGGTCTGGTTTGAGTGTGGGCAGGTAGAGATGGTAAATGAGTAGTTGGAGAGGTTACCTTTGTTGCGATTTTCAGGGACTCCTTGTTTTTTACCTGTTTGAACAAGAAAGAAAAAAGTGGGGTCGAAACCCAAAGTAACTATTAAGAGATCCAATTTGTTGGTCCTGCTCAGAGCCCAGAAGGACAACAGCAAAGTGTTTGGGTTGCAGGGAAGGGACATAAATGTAAAGGAAGCTCACATCTCTGTTTTCATTCATTCTTGCTAGAGGCTGTCATGAATCCTCGGGATATCCACCAAAACGCTCATGTAGGTGAGTGCATACTCATACCTGAGGTGCTTTCTCTTGCTCCTGGCCTGAGTCACATTGCTTGGAAAAATGGGGTGGGGATTAGGAAGTGAGAGGTTTGAACCGTTTCTGCCTGATGGCAAAGACTTTGAAAGGTGTCTCCGTGTTACTTCAACAGCACCAGGCAAGCTTCCCCCTTATTCATCTGCAGGCAGCTGCAGAAATGAATTATTTAGTTCCTGAGAGAATGTGTTTTGTTTCCTTTTCATAAACTGTCCTCCACTAAACAGCTCAAGATGATTCTCCAGCCAAGTGGTAGAAACCTTCTCTCCCCTAAGGGAAGAAGGAATGCTTAGGGAAACGTGTAGACTTGGTTTTAGTATCTTCTCCTCTTTCTCCCTCTTATTCTTTCCTTCAGGAATAACTGAGTGGCAAAGACTGAACTAACTGTTCCTACTCTTCTAGCTGTGTGTCTCTTCCATTGAGAGCCTACAGTTTCGGCAGAAATCTATTTTACTCTTCTGGCCAATTTTCTCTTAGTCTTGATGGTTCGTTTAACCCCCCATCTTTGAGGAAGAAAGTTGGGGAAGGAGGGGGAGTACACGGAAGGCATTTGGGGCTACCAGCACCTAGCCAGTTTATTTAGGGCAGGCTTTATAACTCATCCCTTTACAAGCTACCATTAGACATAAAAATCAAGGCTCAAATTCAACCTGATTTGGGAGCCTAGAGCCAGGATCTGGTTTTCATCAGAGCTCCCTGGAGCCAAGGATTTACATCTTTATCTCAGCAAGGAGTTTGGATATCTGCTTTCTTCATGGCAGCAGATTCTTCCAACCATGCTTTCTATCCAGATCTGCTCCCTCGCTTCCTTGTTTGTCCATGGGGATGAGAGGAAAGAGAATCTCATTCCAGATGCCCCTTACCTTTCTTCTTTTTCTCCCCTTCGTCATCCTCATTGACCCCCAAGAGAGTAAGGATGATTCCAGTCTGAGAGTTGACACCAACAGCTGTCACCACCATCCGGCCAGAACCTTCCATGACATGGGTCCCTACACGGGAAAGGAGAAGATGGGAAGGAATGGGTTTTTTAATACCTAGACATGATTTGGTATGAAACACAAACTTAGAAGAAAAAATACTCCTCCCTACCCCATGGATAATGATGTGCTTAGCACAGTAGGAAAAGGTCAAGAGCTGGGCGCATTTAAAACAGACCAGACAAATTGGGAGTAAGGAGGAAAATGTGTCTAACCGCTTTAGGGTAAGCCCTCCCTCCTGCCCCCGCCACCCCTGCAACCAGCAAAGCCCCTTCAAGGCCCTTATAACACTTGTTTCATGGAAAACTTCATTTAGGCTGCCTGATATCCTTGTATTCCACCCACCAAAATGCTGTTGCCCCAGCTGAACCCCAGGGAAGGAGATGGGACAGAGTCAGAGGAGAGAACAGGGTCTGGATCCTGTGGCCTAGGTGTTTGCAGGGAGGTAAATGGGAACTTGGGCAGCCAGGGCCTATACCTGAGAGCAACATGGGGTCTTTGTCCAGGGACTTCTTGACATGGTCAGATTCCCCTGTCAGAGAGCTCTCATCAATCTTCAGATCATTCCCTTGGATCAGGATTCCATCTGCAGGCAGCAGATCACCTAGAGCACAAAGGGGAAGGAGGGACAGTGAAGGAGATAGTAAGAGACTGGCTGAGGGTAGGGTCCTCCAACTCCTTCAACCCTATCTCATGGCTGTTCCCATGGGCCCTATCTAGACAGCAATGGCCGAGAGTACATGGAGACTCTTTACAAGTCTTCAGCTCTGTACAATCTGGGAGAAGGTTGCTTTCCAGGCATTATAAATTCAAACTCTTATTCATCCCCAACACCTTTCCATGGCCTGAATGTTATACACTTTTAACCCTAAGACACACAGGGTACAAGTCTGACAATCTTGCGACAGAGTTTCAGCTACTCCTTTCTGAAATGGCTTCCCACAACCTCTTTAAACTCTAACCTAGAAGTGAATACAATTTTGGATCTTATCTTTTTGGGTTTTCAGCAATTCCCAGCCCCCTCATGCCAAAGGACCTATCCCTTAAATGGGGGTGGTGGTGGGGTAAGCAAAAGAAACACGGAGCTCTCACCGTATTTGACTTGGGCAATATCACCAACCACAATCTCAGCCACAGGGAGCTGGATGAGTTGACCGTTTCGGATGATGGAGAACTTTTGCTCCTGTTCAATGCGGCACTGCAGCCCCCGGAATTGCTTCTCTTTGCTCCAATCATTAAAGGCAGTCACTAACACCACGATGATCACTGAGAAAAGGATGGCTGCCCCCTCAATCCAGCCAGCTTGTGCCTCATTTTCATCTTCTGGGGTAGTTGCGACTTGACCACACACTATCCCAGGAAGGGAGAGAAATAGTCACTGAAGGGCTTTTGTTGACATTAAGAAATAGGAGTAGTGCTTCCACAATCACCCCAAGATAGAAAGTCAGGAAAAGTGAATAATAGCAAATACAACTGTTGGCTGGAAGAGGATATCAGAGGATAGCAGGATTGAGTATTGTCTTATCACTAGTGTAACTATTTATGTTAATCCAAAAGAGGCAAATGACTAAATAGTACAAACTATCAAATTTAGGGAAGTCACATGTAAGGTCACACTTATGGTTCCCAACATGGTCAGGCTTTCACTACTGTTTCCCATCATGCCAGACAATTGGTGGCAGGGGGCACTTTGAGATGTAGGGTTTTGTTGGTTGGATAAGGGTAGAGAATTCCTGGCTGGGGGTGTTGGTTCACACCTGCAATCCCAGCACTCTGGGAGGCCAAGGCAGGCAGATCGCTTGACCCCAGGGGTTTGAGACCAACCTGGGCAACATAGTGAGACCTTGTCTCTATGTTGTAAAAATTATTAAATAGGCCAGGCAAGTGGGTCACGCCTGTAATCCCAGCACTTTAGGAGGCCAAGGCGGGTGGATCACCTGAGGTCAGGAGTTTGATACCAGTCTGGCCAACATGGTAAGGCCCTGTCTCTACTAAAAATACAAAAATTAGCCAGGCGTGATGGCACACGCCTGTAATCCCAGCTACTCAGGAGGCCGAGGCACGAGAATTGCTTGAACCCAGGAGGTTGCAGTGAGCCCAGATTAAGCTGCTGCACCCAGCCTGGGTGACAGAGCAAGATTCCATTAAAATAATAATAATAATAATAATTAATAAATAAATAAAATGTCTTAAAAGGGTAGAGGATTCCTGACATTCCGAAAAAGGATTTAATAGAAGACAGAGGGTGAGGGTGGGGTGGGGAGGAACCCTTGGAATAAGGATGAGTTGGAAGAATAGCTTAGTAGCTACTGCTTGGTTTCCTTTGGAAAGCCCACTCTGGATAATGGGGGAAATGTTTTAAGCTATAACCTGTCAGCCACCAATACTAAGCGCTTGGTGGTGGTGGTGGAAAGAACCCAGATAAGAGTCACGCTGAGCTGTTTAGGACACTCACGTTCATTTTCTTCACCAGCAGGGCGATAAAAGGACAGGACCAGGGAGATGATGGCTGCAATCTCCAGGATGATAAGCGTGACATCTTGAAGAGCTTCCCACACTAATTCTAAGAAAGTCTTGGGCTTTTTGGGGGGGATCACGTTGTGTCCAAACACCTGCCTACGTTTCTCCAGATCTGCAGGGTTCCCAGACAGACCTGAAAAGGAGATAGGAGTGGATGAATGAATGTAGGAAAAAAGGAAAATGATAAAAGGCAGTTTTGAAGTGGCAGTGAGCCATGATCATGTCATTACACTCTAGCCTGGGCAACAGAGAGAGACGCTGTCTCAAAAATAAATAAAATAAAGAGGCCAGGCATGGTATCTCACGTCTGTAATCCTAGCACTTTGGGAGGCCAAGGTGGGTGAATTGCTTATGTTTAGGAGTTCGAGACCAGCCTGGGCAACATGGTGAAACCTTGTCTCCACAAAAAAGACAAAAATTAGCCAGGCATGATGTGGTGCACCTGTAGTCACAGCTACTCAGGAAGCCGAAGTGGGAAGATTGTTTTGACCTCAGGAGTTTGAGGCTGCAGTGAGCAGCAGTGATCACGTCATTGCACTCCAGCCTGGGCAACAAAATGAGACCTTGTCTCTAAAATAAAATAAATAAAAAAGACCCTTTCCTTCCTGATTTGCTCAAGTATGAGATCCAGTTAGAGACAACCATCCTAATCTGCCCAGGACTTAGAGAGGGTGGAACTTTCAGTCTAAAAATGGGCAAAATGAAACTAGTCAGCCATGGGACCACTCACTTATCTTAGTAACAAGTATAAGCTGGATAAATTCTTAACCAGACATAAAATCTTATCTGCTACTGATTGAGTATGCCCCAGGCTCCAGCTCTGAGAACATTAAATATTAAAGTGGTTCTTGGGATTCACATAGAACTTTTATGTCATATTAACAGGTAAATGCTGCAGTGATTTAAAAGCAGAGTGAGCTGCCATCCATTGGCTCACACACAAAGGCCAGGAAGAACAAGCTCCTTGCTCAAGGTCATGCAAGATGGAGGCAGAGCCCACACATGTGTCCTAATTCTAAGATCCAGGAGCTTTAGGGGAGCATCAGGGCAGAGTCTTTAAGACTATAACTTGTGGGCATTCCCTTTAAGCACATGTGCCCCTCTTCTGTCACACACATATACACACCTGTGTGCCTAGGTGTATGCATGTACACACACTCACAGAGGCACAAACACACACCACTGAGAGATACTACCATTCTACTAAGGACTAAGTAGGTACTAAGGGAAGTACTACTACTCAGATTGAATAAAAAGAGAACAAGAAAGGTGGGGCCACAAAGTTTTCAGATGCCACGCAGTACTTGATTAGCAGCATCCTCCCTACCAACATACGTTTGCTTACATACCTGTGTGTACACACACCACATGCCACACACACTATACAGACACATACACACCACAAACCACATACACCACTCACATCACACACCTTATACACAATATACAGACACATACACACCAAACACAAACCACATACACAATACATACCACACAGATATATGACACACACACACACAGAACATGCACCACATACATACCACACCTACTCTCTACGCACTTTCCCAGAGGGACAAGAGATAGGCAGAATTATTCTCAGTGCTTTCCTTATATTTGGGTCCTTTCATGGGTCCCCAGGTGGGGCTACCCTTGAAGGGAAGAGGGGCAATCCTACCATGGTGATTAATGCCAGTTGGTGTTCAAGTTGTTTACACGCTGAGGCAAATTAGTCCTGGTTTTGGCACTGGAAGCTGTTGGTTGCCGGTTTGAAGGGTTTCCCAGAGGCAGGGTAGGGTGACTTTTGTCTTGAAAAAAGGTTAGCAGCTGAGGAGGGTCAGAATCAGAGGAAGGGAACTTCAACTGAGCTTCACAGAGAGAACAAGAAGTGGATGATGGAGGCTGCAGGGACAAAACGGAGGCAAAGGACTTGGATGCCAGAGGCCTTCTTTACACTTTAGTCAATGTGAAGGGCTATTCTGTTGCTGAGGAAGGAATGCAGACGTGGTATACAGGCAAATGTCTACTCTTCACTGAAAATCTTCACTGAATAGAACCCAAGAGTGGGCCGGGCGTGGTGGCTCATGCCTGTAATCCCAGCACTTTGGGAGGCCAAGGTGGGTGTATCACTTGAGGTCAGGAGTTTGAAACCAGCCTGGCCAACACGGTGAAACCTCATCTCTACTAAAAATACAAAAAAATTAGCTGGGTGTGGTGGCGCATGCCTGTAATCCCAGCTACTAGGGAGGCTGAGGCAAGAGAATTGCAATCTGGGAGGCAGAGGTTGCAGTGAGCTGAGATCATGCAACTGCACTCCAGCCTGGGCGAGAGAGAGACTCTGTCTCAAAAAAGAACCCAGGAGTGTTACCTTAAATGTCAAAAGGAGAGATTTGGGTTAGGACCTGAGGAAGACATCTGAACAGATAAAGATTTTGAAAATGGGAAAATAGGTACCCAAGGGAGCATTATTTGCAGAGTTTGGGATGGCCTCCATTTCCCTATCCTATAAAACAAAAAGCATCAGGAGACATACATAAGATACTCATCTGTCTGGGAAGGTAGATGTGGGGGGTGGGAGATGAAAGTGGGGGGGCAGGGGATGAACTAGCATCCACACCTATGCAGTTAGGGGTGTGAGGGCCCTCTTTTGAGACCACATTCACTTGCTAGTGCTTAGGAGAGAGACACAGGGGCTGGTTAGGGAAGTGGTGCCTGATGGCTTATCCAGGGTCTCCTGACTCCCAGTGCCCAAGCACATCACCCTGGCCTCCAGCTTAGGGGCACAGCTGAGCCCCGCAGAGCTGTGAGGTTTGGCCAAACCTCTAGAAGCAAATTGGGTTGCTCCCCAGAGACTCCCTGCCCCACCAGCCTGAGAAGTCAGGTTCCCAGTAGGAGGGAAAGCCAGAGCCTGGGAAAGGAGTGTTCTGGGCAGGGAATCTTTAGCCCCAGACAGGCAGAGGCAGACTTGCCAAAGGGGCAGGGCCTTGCTGGTCCTTTCTCCCCAGGGACCAGAGATGGCAAGGCTGTGCCAAGTTGGGTCTGCTGTGCTGGAGAGCCAGGCTTGCTGGCAGGAGTGCTGGTAATTTGTTAAGCTACCTGGGACGCTTCTCAAAAAAGCAGGATTCACAATGTAAAGGGAGTAGATGCCCTTTCCTTCTTACCAAGGTTTAGTAGATGATTATGAGGGCAAACCAAGACATCAGATATTAAAGATCATAAGGTGCACCCCAATAGCCTAATGAAACCCTCCCTCCCAAAAAGAGGGACATATGAGGGGCAGAGAACAGGGCTACCTGTCCCTCTCTGCTCTCATGCTAATACCCTGTAATCATCTTTGATGCCCAGCCCCCATCTCCTATATCATGTAGTTGAGAAATCCTATCAGCTTCAAAATATATCTAAAGTCCAATCACTTTCCATTTTCACTGTTATCATCCTGGTCTAAACCATCCTCTCTCATCTGGATTATAGCAATCATCTTCTAACTGGTCTCCTTGCCTCCACCCTCCCTCTCCTGTTCTTAGTCTCTTCTCAATGTATTAGCCAGAATGATCTTTTTTAAGATCCAAGGCAGTACATGCGATTCATCTGCTCAAAACCCTCTGGCTTTTACTTAGAGTAAAACTAGGCACCAAGGACTTAATGATGGGCTTCCAGGACCCTTATGACTCCCCCAGCCCCCCAGTCCTTATCTCCTACTAGTTTCTCCATGTTCACTGAGATCTGGCCCAACCAGCCTGCCTGCTGTTCTCTAAACGCACTAGACAGGCATCTACATCAGGGCCTCTGCACAAGCTGTTCCCTCTGCCCAGATTCCTCTTTGTTGGAGAGGGCTCACTTCCTCACCTCCCTCAGGTCTTTGTACAAACATCTTCTTTTTAGTGAGGCCTACCCTGACCACTGTATTTACCTGGCACTCTTGATCCCCCTCATCCTGCTCAATCATTTCCCTCCACAGGTCTTCTCACCTAGCATATAATAGGACACATTCATTTATTGTTTGTCCACCTCCTCCACAAGGGCAGGATTTTTATCTTTGTTCCTCAGGCCTACAGCATTGCCCAGCACATTGTACACACACAAATTTGTAGAATGAACTGAATGAATGAGTGATAACTAAGATTGCTAACATTTAAGTGATTACTATGTGCCAGATGCCTCACCAGGCACATTCATGCCTTCTCATTCAAGCATCACAAACCCCTACCTGGTAGCTACTATTAACCCAATTTGACATAGAAGCAAACTAAGGCCTGGCAGGGGTATGACTACTTGAGCTTATTAAGTGGCAGAGTCTATGCCACCCCACAGAGGGCCACTGGATGCCAACCTAGATACAGAGGACGCTGGGACATGGAGGCAGCTGCACTCAGCTGAGGCTTCAATCTAGTGTGACTAACTTGTCCTGGTTTGCCTAGGACTTGCCAGGTTTTAGCACTGAAGTTTCTGCCTCCTGGGAACCCCGCTCAGTCCCGGGCAAACCGGGATGGTTGGCCACCCTACTTCCTTCACCACGGGGCAGGGTTGCATGCTGCTTTCCTCTGTACCTCTAAGCAAGCCAGCGCTGTTCCCACTGTCTACAATTGGGGTGGATTAGTCCTGTCTTTTTTCTTCCTGGCCTCAGGGATGGTAACATCGCCATCAGGTTCATCAGAGTCCAAACCTATGAATTTTGTACTCAATAAAACCTTTCTTATGGCCTTTTTTGGACCCAAGCAAATGAAGTGACATACACTATGGAAAACATAAAAAGTCAGGGCTTGTTCTTACCTAAATGCTCTCAAAGTCACTTGCTTGCTTCTTTTTTTTGCCATTTTCTACTCATCTATGTGTTCCACCTTAAGTCACCCTGAGCTTGTACAATAGCAACCTTAAGAAGTCAAGTGGCTGTCTCAGTTCCCAGTATGCCCTGCAGCAAGGCGGGGCAGGTCAAGGCTCTTAGCTGTAGTAGCCTTGGGAATCCTCTCTGACATGTGGTGAGGCATGGGAAAGCCATGTGGGACTGGGAGCTCGGCCAATCCCCAGTTTTGGGCTTTCCATTCCAATTCTTTCTGCCCTAGAGAGTCTTTCAGGCCCTGATCTCAGCAGCTGTAATTTCACACAAATACTTGTCCAGCCTGGGAAAAGGCTCTAAAAGGCCCTGATCTCTGCAGTGGTTTCTCAGATGCTCACACAACCTCCTGGAGAGGGGAAGGAAAACTTGGCAGGGAGAGAATGCTGGAAACACAGGAAAAGGGTTTCCCCTAGAAATTCCTCAGGAAACTGAGGGGAAATCTTGTCCTCAAGAACATGAGAGAGAAAGCCCCACCCAGAGTGGGAGTACTTCTGGCCCTATGAACCAGACTGAACACATGAGCTGGGAGAGGCAAAGAGAATGTTTAGCTGTGAAGTCATCACCCCCACCCCATGCTGGGGAGGTGCACGGCCCCTGCCCAGGCTGGGTGGGAACATAGAATAAACAGCAGTGGAATATTTGTGTCTGCCATGAGTGTGCAGGACCTAGGGCCTGGGAGGAGAAATGCAGCCCAACCCTCAGTGGCTTAGCTCCAGCAGGGAAGGGCCAACGACATCGGCAGAGGCACTACTTATCAGAACCAGCTCAGCCCCAGAAAGGGTGGGGCTAGGGTAGACATCAGGAGGGACTTCCCAGCTGTCTGAGTTATGACACCTTGCCAAAGGAGGCAGCAGAATCTTCTCCCACTCATATAGTACCAGGGAGAATTTTCTCTGGGTTGATTTGAAGGCTGTCCTCTTTTGGAACTTGAGAAGGACAGACAGCAGAATACCTTTTAAGTCCTTCCTTAAAAGGATTTGGGTTTTGTTTGGTGGCTCATGCCTGTAATCCCAGAATTTTGGGAGGCCAAGGTGGGAGGATAGCTTGAGCTCAGGAGTTCGAGACCAGCCGGGGCAATACGGAAAGATTCTGTCTCTACAAATAATAAAAAAAATTAGCTGGACATGATGGCGTGTGCCTGTGGTCCCAGCTACTCAGGAGGTTGAGGCAGGAGGATGGCCTCAGCCCAGGAGGTTGAGGCTACAGTAAGCCGTGATTTTGCCACTACATTCCAGCCTGGGCAACAGAGCAAGACCCTGTCTCAAAAAAAGAAAAAAAAGGCCGGGTGTGGTGGCTCACGCCTGCAATCCCAGCACTTTGGGAGGCCGAGGCGGGCGGATCATGAGGTCAGGAGATCGAGACCATCCTGGCTAACACAGTGAAACCCCGTCTCTACTAAAAATACAAAAATTAGCTGGGTGTGGTGGCGGGCGCCTGTAGTCCCAGCTACTCGGGAGGCTGAGGCAGGAGAATGGTGTGAACACGGGAGGCGGAGCTTGCAGTGAGCTGAGATTGCGCCACTGCACTCCAGCCTGGGCAACAGAGCCAGACTCCATCTCAAAAAAAAAAAGTTAAAATTAATTTTAAAAAACCCCAACAACCCTGGATTTGGGGACTGAGGGGGAGGAGTAACTTAAAATCAAAATAGGGCCATGCAAGATCTAGCCATCTCTGGCTAATAACCGAATGCTACTCTTCCGAGTATACAGCAGTTTCCCTGCTTCAGCACCTCCAGTTTAATACACGCATGGCTTGGAGATTTGCTCCCTATCTGCTAGACTTCCAGCTCCTAGAGATAAAGCAGTTGATTCAAGGTCACAGCCAGAGGATGATGAACTTGGAGAACAATGCTTCTTTTCTCATTCTGGTCAGCAAAACCCTTCCCAAGGTGGGCCGCTTCCTCAGGGCATGCTTCCCTTTATCCCGCCCCCTGCTCTTGGCCTTTTTTTGAAAACAGCAACTGTGGCCCAGGGAAAAAAGTCTCCCTAGAGCTCTCTAGTTAGCTTTCTGCTCTGCCACTCTGCCACCTTCTGTACTTCATGAATGTGCTTCCATCTGGTGTCATATTCCCACCTTGGAGCTAAATAATAAGAATGAAAGCCCCACTTTCGGTAGATGCAGTATCTGCTTCACCCAAGGAGGGAATGCTATTTTTCTTCCCAACAGCTAATGGTCCAATGTAAGCCAAGAATGAGAAGGTTAAAAACCAAATCAGACCCCCAAAAAACTTGCAACAGTTGCTGCTGAGTTGTCAAAGGAATGGAGCATAAAGGGCTCCAGGAGAGAAAGCAGGAAGGGGAAGCCTCCTGCTTCCAGGTTGGGGAAGCCTTAGCTACTCTCCTCGTGAAGATCCCTCTGACCCCAGCTGGACAGCATTATGACAGTGAACCCAGAAGCCCAGCTCTAGGCAAGGAGGGCTAAGTAGAAAAGAACTGGCAGAGCCTGGGCTGGGCTAGGAAGAGAGAACCCACAGCCTACAAGAAGCCTAATTCAGCCCTAGGCATGAAACTCAAACCAGACAGGGAATTCCTAGGATGCAAAGTGGAGTTCCCTGTGGTGGGGGATGGGGAGGGGCAGAGGGAGGACACTTTTGGCTTGAGTCCTTCTCACATCGTGAATTAGTTAGTGCTAATCCATCTGCCCAAAATTTGGTAGGCAGAGTGGACCACAGAATGTTAATCTCTGAGGCCATGCCCAGATCACTGTTATTAGGGTCACTTATTTGCCATCCTTAGTAGAGTTGGGGCAAGAGATGATGGCTACAGGGCAGAGGGCACAAAGAAAGAGGAAAATAGAGGTTATGCTTCTAACCTCAAGTGGAGGAGCTCCTAAAAATTGATATTCCAGAACAGACTATAAGCTCTAAAGATAGGGAAGAAAAATCTCAAAGAACCCAGTTGCCCATCTTCCTCTCACATCTGTTCCATCCCATCTTCACTCACCTAGTCCTCCACATCCCCCTAACGCCACCGTGCTTTAGAGCAGCGGTCTCTAAGCGGGGGGCATGCATCCATCTGTTAGAGTGAGGAAAATATATGTTTGCCTATCTTATTATGTAAATAAAAGTGTTAGATGTATTAATAGTAAGGCAATAGTCTTGTAGGTGAACATTTACTTGGGATATGTACTCAATTTTTTCCAGATTGACAATACTACTAGAAATTTCAATCTGCTACACCGAGGAAGAGCCCAATCCCAGTACATCTCAGCTTGTAGCAAAATGGACAATTCCTGGTAAAACATGCCACTGCCCTCAAAAGGCACAGTGACGGGAACACAGTTAAGCCCCAGAGATCTTAAGGTGATAGACGTTCATCTAAATCCTCAAGCTAATAAAACAAAATTGTAATTTGGGTTGGCCGTCTTAAAACACATTTTTTTTCCCGCCTGCCACTTACTCCCCAAGGAATCTCAGCTCCCTAAACCTAGTAACTACCCAGTAATTAAGGAAGGCAAAAATGCTGGCATCTTATGCCAGGAATATTCAGCAGGTGGTAGCAATGATCATAGAGCGTGGCCATGCTAGAGCTTCACTGGGTAATCCCTAAATGATACAGGTGTGCTGTCTCCAGCTCTAAGCCCCCTTCCCCTCCCCTGCAATGCCTTCAGCTTAGGTCCCTACACTGTGTTCCCATAGACGCTGCTCTTCCTCATCGAAGCCCTATGGCAAGATTTCTGAAATTGCCTTCATTCATATGCATCTTCTTTTAGCCTGTAAGCTCTATGGAAGGAGGCACTGCACCTGTCATGTTCACCCTTGTGTCCCTAGCACCTAGCAGTTTTTAAGTATTAGTTGAATGTTGTTGAAAAAGAATTGGAGGCCCTCAATATCTCACTGTCACGCCTTCAACTCTGCAGAGGAGAAAAGAAGTAGAAGGGTACAGAAGGAACATAAAACAGAAAGTTCCACCAACAATCTTTTAGATCCAAATTCAACCAAAATAGCCTTCAGCCTTTTGAAAGAAGGCCTACAGTTAATAATTTGCTGTTTATTCAAGGCTCCCCTTGTTTCCCATTCTGTTCTGGGCCCAGACCTTGCCTCCAAGGGCTGGCCTAACTCTTCCTCAGAAAACACCATTCTTCCTCCTAAAAAGGATAGCGTAGCTAAGGACCAATGTGCAAAATTCTACAGGGAAAAAAGAACACGTATAACCTCTACCTAGGCCGCCAGGACCATCCCTTTTTCCTTCACACAAAAGGGTATTGAGACTAAGGAAAATACCTCTTCCTTCTTCCCCTTAAGCCACAGGTAATTTTCATCCCAGATTCACAAAAAGCTTCTTCCACTCACGAGGCCATGAGACTCCACAGGAAACCACACAGAAGGTAAAAGGCTATCTTCTAGCCTATACCAACCAAACTGCTCTGTTCTTTGGGGATTGGAAAGATTGGTTGAGGTGGGAATGGGACAGGGAAAGAAGAGACAATAAAAGGAGGGGGAAAAAACTGGAATGGGGAACGAAGCAAGCAAACAAGAAGGATTCCATTGTGCAAAATGCTCAGATTGTCCCTCCTGATAAACCCAAGGCAACACAGCTTGCCCAGGAGCTCCAGTCTCACCCCTGCATCTTTGCTTTTGTTTATATACAGACATAAAGACTGAAATCTTTAGTTACTTTGATGTAAACATGTATTCTCTTTTATGTCTCCCCCACCCTTTCTTGTTGCCCTAAATTTTCTTCTCTTTTTGGCTCATGCTCTCAGCCTTATTTCTGGTTGTTGCTGAAGGCCATGTAGCTAAACATCTCCAAGCCTTCTTAAGTCTAACCAACTCTTGGCCACTGGGGCAACTCCTCTTACTCTAACTAGCTAATGTATACTCAAGGAACACAAGCCAGTATCAAAACATTGGGCTGAGGCTGCGCATGAGGGCTCATGCCTGTAATCCTAGCACTTTGGGGGGCCAAGGTGGGCAGATCGCTTGAGGCCAGGAGTTCAGGACCACCCTGGGCAACATGGAGAGACCCTGTCTCTACAAAAAAAAATACAAAAATTAGCTGGGCGTGGTGGTGCACACCTGTAGTCCCAGTTAACCAGGAGGCTAAGGTGGGAGGACTGCTTGAGCCTGGTAAGTGGAGGTTGCAGTGAGCCATGATTTCACCACTGCACTCCAGCCTCGGTGACAGAGCAAGACCCTGTTTCAAAAATAAAATTGAAAACAACAACAAAAAAACATTGGGTCAGTGGCGGCTCATGCCTGTAATCCCAGCACTTCGGGAGGCTGAGGTAGAGGTGGCAAAACCCCATCTCCACCAAAAAATACAAAAATTAACCCGGCATGGTGGCGCGCATCTGTGGTCCCAGCTACTTGGAAGGCTGAGGCAGGAGGATCAGTTGAGCCTGGGAGGCGGAGGTTGCAGTGAGCCGAGATCATGCCACTGCACTCCAGCCTGGGTGACAGAGTGAGAATCCATCCCAAAATAATAATAATAATAATAATAATAATAATAATAATAATAATAATCTCTTTCTCTCTCCCTCTCTCCAGGCTAAAGGGTTTAAATGACCTAAGTTCTTACCACCAGGTAGAATGGGATGGAATATTTCATGCCTTCTGACTTATACTCCATTAATGCTCTAAATGCTTCTTATGCTAGAGCAGTCTCACAGAGTATCTTAGCTAAAGCACAGATAGTGCTGGGACTACATGCATGAGCTACTGCGGCCAGCCAAAAGAGATAATTAAGTCCCACCTGCCTTTAGAATTGTGTAAATCTATGATAATAAAACCATGTTAGTATCAGAAATGTAATAAACTTCAAGTTCCATAAGCCCCCTTAAAAGCTATGGTTTAAAAAAAAATTCTGTCAATCTATACTAAAGATGCTATCAGTCCATAGAAAATAAAGGAAAAGGGTTATATTTTAGGAAACAATATCTCTGATCTTCACTTTCACCTTGGTTTCCAGCTAGCAGAATTCAAGCACCAGGTACATTTCTTTATTCTTATTATTGGTCCACTGGGACCTCCCACAATGACAAAATTCTCCTAGGCTGTCAGGCTGTGTGGCCTTCCATGAACAGGCTGGCTTTTTATAGGATGAGCATATTGGGGATCTTTTGTCTGCCTACCCTAACTAAACAGGTGAGCATTACCCTTGCCTGGGTAGATACTCCTATGTCTTAGCTGTTCTATATCTTCTTTTCTTTTCTTTTTTTTCTTTCTTTCTTCCTTTCTTTTCTTTCTTTTCTTTCTTTTTCTTTCTTATTTTTTTCTCCTTTTCTTATCTCTTTATTCTTCTTACACACTAGGACGTCACTGTTGGTACTGGGGACTAAAAATTACTAATGGAAAGGTTGTTTTCCAACACCGTCTCCCCAGTTCCAGAACAAGCCCTATGGTAACTCTTACATTACTACAAACTGGTGAGGCAGAAGAACTGCTTGAGTCCAGGAGTTTGAGACCAGTCTGGGCAACAGAGCAAGACCCCATCTCTCATAAAGAAAAAAAAAAAAAAAAAAAAGGCCAGATGCCATGGCTCACGCCTGTAATCCCAGCACTTTGGTAGGCCGAGGTGGATGGATCACCTGAGGTCAGGAGTTCGAGACCAGCCTGGCCAACATGATGAAACCCCGTCTCTACTAAAAATACAAAAAACTAGCTGGGAGTGGTGGCGTGCACCTGTAATCCTAGCTACTTGGGAGTCTGAAGCAGGAGAATTGCTTGAACCCAGGAGGCGGAGGTTGTAGTGAGCCAATATCGCGCCATTACACTCCAGCTTGGGCAACAAAAGCAAAACTCCTTCTAAAAAAAAAAAAAAAAAAAAAAAAAAGAAAGAAAAGAAAGAAAAACACCAGGACACATATTTGTGATCTAAGGAAGCAGTACATGGCAGTAGAAAATTGTGCCAGTGTTAGGAGTCCTAGGCTACAGGCATGGCCAGGGGCTGTAACGAGGGAAGCACTTGCCATTGGAAGGGGCTGAAACCAGGACTGGGAAAGGATCCAAGAGCATTAGCTATGTCTATAACATTTGATATCCAATGTTGACAGAAAGTAGAATATATGTTGGCCTTTGGGAAAGGAAGCTCTCTGGGAATCAGAAAGTAAACAGTGGCAGCTCTGGGAAGGGATCTGGAAAATTGGAGGAAAGCCTGAATCCTGCTGTCAGGAGTTCTCTAGGTTCCAGCTTCTTTGGACTCCCGAGTTCCTGTTTGTGAGACAGACAGCTGACCAGAGGGATCAAGAACAGCATAGGAAGGGAAAAAGAAAGATCCTGTTTAAATTCTGATGGGTGTTTGTAAAGTACTGCATAATCTCAGTGAAGATATAATTAAGAACAGACCCTCAGCAGTCAGTACGGCTGTAAAAGTGACTGAATAAAGAAATCTAGCTGGCAAGAAGTAGACAGAGCCCAAAGGGGTATGATTAAGGACTACCATTAGAAGGCAAAGACTGAGCCACATGAAAGCAATTAGATATTGCCACCTTACCCAGGGTTTTTTTTTTTTTTGTGATTAAGAAGTGAGCAAATGAAATGGACAGTAGTTGCAGTTACACACACAGTAACCTCTCCAGATAGGACAAAACATTGCACTCCATAGGCACCCATGTTCTGGCAAGTATCTACAGATGCATGGACTCTGTTTTAATCTGAGAAAACTAATCTATTGAACACCTAATTATAAGTATGAGCACTGTATATGTATTATTTAATCTCAGTAACTCTATGGGCTAGGTGTTATTAACATTATTTTCAAAGAAGAAACAGACTCAGGGAGGCTGAGTAAACTGTAGAGGGCTACTTAGTTAGTAAATGGTGGAGCTATCATTTGAACTCAAAGCCTATGAGATAGGAAACCAAATTCTAGAAGTAAAGAAAACAGGTAGGGAAGCTCCCTTAGGTTGTAAAGAAAATAAGACATAAACTAGGTATAGATATCTATGTAAAACTCTCTTTCTCTTTTTTCATCCTAAAGAGTCTAGGCTCCAAGTCACTAACTTATAATACAGCACTGGCAAAGGGTAACAACTTCTTAGAATTGGTGAGAAATATGCTGTGGCCTCTGAGGAAGATTCAGAAATAGGAGACCACATGAGACTGAAAGCCCCTAATGGACAAGATCTTTGCTCCATCTCATGCTACTCAACCATGAACTGCCAGATGTATAGGGCCAAGTAAGAATCTGCTACAGAGATGCTAAAACCAGACTAAAGTGAAAAAGCAAGTTTCCTTTTGTTCTTTCTACATTTTGATGAGGCAAAATTTCATAATACCATGGCACACTGGGCAACTGGGCTGGGCCAAAGCCTGAAGCTGAATTTTTCATTATCTTTTAAGTTTTTTTAGCTTTTAAGAAGAGATTAAGGCCGGGCGCAGTGGCTCATACCTGTAATCCCAGCACTTTGGGAGGTTGAGGTGAGCGGATCACCTGAGGTCAGGAGTTTGAGACCAGTGTGGTCAAAATGGTGAAACTCCATCTCTACTAAAAATACAAAATTAGCCACATGCCTGTAACCCCAGCTACTCAGGAGGCTGAAGCAGGATAATTGCTTGAATCCAGGAGGTGGAGGTTGCAGTGAGCCAAGATTGCACCATTGCACTCCAGCCTGCCTGGGCAACAAGAGTGAGACTCCTTCTCAAAACAAAAAAACCAAAAAAACAAAAAACAAAACAAACAAAAAAGATTAAGGAGAACTACATTAAAAGTGTATCCAGCAGAGTTGAAAAAAAATCACTTATAATTCCCTGACACAAAACAGTGAGTGATCCAAAGATATGATGGGTACAGTTATATACCTTGTGATTTAGCATCCCATTTCCTTTTTTTTTTCTTTTTATTTAAAATAGAGGCTGGGCGTGGTGGCTTATGCCTGTAAGCCTCCTCATCCCAACACTTTGGGAGGCCAAGGCAGGCAGATCACCTGAGGTCAGGAGTTCGAGACCAGCCTGACCCACAGGGTGAAATCCCATCTCTACTAAAATACAAAAAATTAGCTGGGCGTGGTGGTGCACACACCTGTAGTCCCAACTGCCTAGGAGGCTGAGGCATGAGAATTGCTTGAACCTGGGAGGCGGAGGTTGCAGTTAGCTAAGATCATTCCACTGCACTCCAGCCTGGGTGACACAGCAAGACTCTGTCTCCAAAAAAAAAAAAAAAAAAATAGAGATGGGGTGTTATTATGTCACCCAGGCTGGTCTGGAACTCCTGGGCTCAAGTGATCCTCTCACCTCAGCCTGCCAAAATGCTGGGATTAGAGATGTGAGCCACCCACCTGCTTGGCCTATCATCCCATTTCTAACAGTATACAATAGAGAAGTGCTCAATTGGGCAGCTGGACTTATTCACTTTTTTGTACCCTTCCTTCCTCCATTCATTAAACTGTAAGATCAGTGTAGGGAAGAATTAAATTATTTTATAATCAGACATATAGAAGAACAGACTTGATTATTTACTGACAACAACATTTATAACATAAACATTTTAAAAATAAATATCCTCCTTTCTGGACACTGATACAGAAAAAGGAGAAAAGAGGGGTCAGGAGCAGTGGCTCACTGTGCCTGTAATCCCAACACTTTGGGAGGCCAAGGTGGAAGAATCACTTAAGTCCAGGAGTTTGAGATGAGTCTAGGCAAGATACTGAGACCTCAACTCTACAAAAAAATCTAAAAAGCTAGCTGGGTGTGATGGCACACACCTGTGGTCCTAGCTACCCAGCAGACTGAGGTAGGAAGATGGCTTCAGCCCAGGAGGTTGAGGCTGCAGTGAGCCATGATCACGCCACTGCACTCCAGCCTGGGTAAAAGAGCAGGACCCTGTCTCACCAAAAAAAAAAAAAAAAAAAAAAGAAACAAAAGAAGAAGAAAGAAAGAAAAGAAAAAGGAGAAAAGAATAATCTTTAGAGAATAGCACACTTTCTAAACATCATCTCTGGGAAAGATACAGTTCTTCATGGCCTGCCCTCCTTTCAGTGCTTCAGATGCCATACCTTTCCCACCAGACAAAAATATACCAGCTGGGCCTCCAGAAATGTGCCTTCTCTAGAAGCTGGGAAAACAATATTTTGAAACACTAGCCACCTTCCTCCAACTCCCCACCCCTGATATGGCCTTTACCTTCCACAGGGGAGGTTTTCAGTCTACTGCAGAGATTCTGTACACCTCCATAGTGGACATTAATCTGGGTCAGTGCATCCCTTGAACGCAGCTCCATGAGCTTCCTCAGTTCCATTACTGTGCAGCCAAAGTCCCCTTCACGGCTCTCGGCCATCGAGTTGGCAGGCAAGACACGGTCTGATGGGTTCGTCATTTTGCCTGCTGTTACCAAGCCCCTCAACCAGAGAAGATGTAGCGTTTCCCTTCAACTGACCAGTGTCTCCTGCCTCCCTGTCTCAACTTCTTCCTACTTCTTGCTTCTCTGGGGGCCCAGTGAGGGAATAGATTGAATATATCTTGTGCAATAAGCTCCCGAGTAGCCGTCCGAAGTCTAGATCCTTTCTTCCGTATGAAGTCTGGCAGCGAGAGGAGGAAGAGGATGGGGGAACTGAGTGGAAGGTGGACTCCGTGTCACGATGATTGGTGTCCCCAGGTGGTGATGATAGTAGTTGTCCAGGGTAGGTAGGTTCCTAGCTTAGACCAACTTGCCCAGATGAAGGTGTAAACAGGATGTGCATGTTACCATGGCAGCAACCTTAGCAACAACCAGCAACTGTAGTAGTAGACGTCAGGAGGAGGAAGAGGAGAGCTTCCTGGATACCGATGACAACTGGATCTCTGGAATAAAGGTTCAAAGATAGACAAAAAGAAACCATTAGAGCAGCCATAAGTATCCAGCATCTGCAAGGGCAAGAGGTACCCAGTCTAAGCACAAGGGTTTAAGTGACAGTTGAGATCTGAGCTGAACTGATAGCTAGGCCTGAGCTTAGAGAGCTGACTCAAGAGAGGCCCGTTCCTTCCTGGGAGGCCCCTGCAGCCTGTAAACTCCAATGTAGAGGAGTAATTTCAATACCCGAGTCTTCACGTCTCACCTCTCCCAACCAAGCAACATAAAACCCACAGCTTCAGAAACTTGGAAATAAATGGTTACGACCTCTGATGGCTCTAATGTTTTCCCTGTCTATTTGAGGGACCTGTGACAGGATCCTTTAGTCTGACCTTATCTATAAAAGATGAGAAGAGGTCAGAAAAAGGAGTTCAGATCTAAGTGATCTGAAGGGTGGCCTGTCAGTCTGCCTTCCTCTCCCACAACCCACACTCTTCCCACTCCCAACACACACATTTACACACAAGGAAGACAACTTGATAGAAGATGTCAAAATCTTCCAAAGCCCCTTAGAGTACTCAGCCTCCAGGTGTATGGAAATGACAACTTGATAGAAGATGTCAAAATCCTCCAAAGCCCGTTAGAGTACTCAGCCTCCAGGTGTACGGAAATTCTGCAGCCCGTGCAGGTGTCAACCTGGCCGGCACCAAGTTTTGTTCTGAGGCTAAGCTCCACCCTCCTCCAAGAGGCTTTTGGGGAGAAGAGGAGAGTAAAATGCTTTGGCAGTTGGTGACGCAGGGTGAACTTTTTTTTTTTTCTAGTAAAGGGGACAGAAGGACCTCTGAGGAGGAAAGATAGGGAGTTTGAAGCCTGAGCATTAAAGTTTCTCTGGAGTGGGAGCGGTAAGATACCTCTCAATTCAGATAGAGGATAGGGCCACAGCAAGGTTAGCAAGGGAGACAAGCTAGCCTGTGAGTGAGCACCAGAGTCTCACATCAGCTCAATAAAGGCACCAGAGAGAGGCCAGCATTTCTCCCCTCAGAAAGATGCATTACCTCTCACGCATGCTAACTAGGGGGTGTGGTGTAGGTGACAAAACGGAGGGCTGAAGGTGGGAAGAGAACTTATCCTGAGGCCCCTTCTCAGTTTCAGAGTGGGGCCGCTGTGTGTCATGCCACTGACAGGTGTCACTGCCACACATCAGCCTTTTAAATGTGAAGGGACTCTTAGCACAGCACCAGAACATGGGACCCCAGCCCCGGTTACGTAGTCCCCACTGACGACTTCAGTTACCAGGGGGTGGCAAGGAGCTCTGGCCAACCTCTCTGTAATAAATAGATGCCACACTTACTTCTAGAAGGTGAACAAAGAAGCACAAGAACCATCAGATAAGGGACTTGATTCTTTTATCAATGATCTCCTCCAAAGTCACATGTAGCCAAAGTCTTTGCCGATTCCTGACAATCCTCTTCCCAGAAGCTTCCACAGGGATGCAGGTTGATTTATACTCCTCCCTCTCCCAATTTGCCCTTTGCGTCCTCCTCGCCACATAGATTTTTAGCACTACTCTGACTTACAAAGAGTTAAGAAAGCAGGGCTCTATTTGTTTTTAAAATATCGTACTCCCTTCTTATCTGGGAAACAAGAAGATCCACAAAGAACCTGAGGCAATGTGTCAAACTCCCTTCATTCAGACTGGTATAGGCACAGGCAGGACCACAGAGTTTTCACCCCAGTTCAGCTTCTCCTCCAAGCCTGGAAGAAGTGGGAAGGGCTAAAGTAGCAAGAAACCCAACTTGACCCTTAAGTAGAACTCCTTAACCTTTCAAGAGGATGTTGGGAACAATGCTGATAGAGTGTTGAACTAGGAATCAGAGGATTTTACCTTTTCTGTCTTCACCCACTACAATGTTTGCTTCATGAAGACAGGGATGTTACTTAGCCTTCTCAGGACTCAGTTCCTTCCACCTTTAGTTGGGTAGAGAATGGGCCCTGTCTTTTCGCACCACCCTAAGAAAGTGATAAAGGAATGGAATTATAGAAATAGTGCTTGGAAATCTTAGATGAAAGGTATCCAGTGTCTGGAATAGGACACTTAAGTGATGGGAGAAAGCCTAATTTGATCTTTTTTTTCTTTTTTTTTTGAGACGGAGTCTCACTCTGTCGCCCAGGCTGGAGTGCAGTGGCGCGATCTCAGCTCACGGCAAGCTCCACCTCCCGGGTTCACGCCATTCTCCTGCCTCAGCCTCCCGAGTGGCTGGGACCACAGGCGCCCACCACCACACCCGGCTAATTTTTTGTATTTTTAGTGGAGACGGGGTTTCACCGTGTTAGCCAGGATGGTCTTGGTCTCCTGACCTCGTGATCCGCACGCCTCGGCCTCCCAAAGTGCTGGGATTCAGGCATGAGCCACCGCGCCCAGCCGCCTAATTTGATCTTAATGAACTTTTGTTATTAAGCCCTTTAAGTAGAAGAAGAACAATAAGCTCCATGTGCCCTTCCATCTTTCCTTGCCAGGGAACCCCCACCCCACCAAAAGAATGGAAAATTCTAAGGCAGCTTCATTAACAATAACCATTAGCTAGGTTATAACCATTAGCAATAACCACCAGCATATAGGGTCTTGGGTCTCTTGAGAATTAGAAAAGACAGTCTGAGTCAGAATTCCTTCCTTTTTTTTTTTTTTTTTTTTGAGAAAGAGTCTCACTCTGTCACCCAGGCCGGAATGCAGTCGTGCGATCTTGGCTCACTGCAACCTCCGCCTCCCAGGTTCAAGTGATTCTCCCGCCTCAGCTTCCTGAGTAACTGGGATCATAGGCACCTGCCACCATGCCCAGCTAATATTTTGTGTTTTTTTTGTTTGTTTGTTTTTGAGATGGAGCCTCGCTCTGTTGCCAGGCTGGAGTGCAGTGGCGCAATCTCAGCTCATTGCAACCTCTGCCTCCTGGGTTCAAGTGATTCTCCTGCCTCAGTCTCCCAAGTAGCTGAGACTACAGTCGCATGCCACCATGCCCAGCTAATTTTTGTATTTTAGTAGAGATGGGATTTCACCATGTTGGCCAGGATGGTCTCGATCTCTTGACCTTGTGATCCACCCCCCTCGGCCTCCCAAAGTGCTAGGATTAGAGGCGTGAACTACTGCGCCTGGCAGAATTCCTTCCTTACTTTGAACCTCTTTTCACAGTACCAAAGCGGAGAGATTCTTCCACTTCCATAGGCAACTGATGGAAAAGGTCGCATAAGATTAGAACACATGGGGCTGAAGAACACATGTGGAAAAGAATGAAAAGATTTGTTTGCCTCAGGCTTATCTAGAGAAACACAGAGTAGGTCAAGCGCTAAGCTGCTGGCACAAAGTCAAAAGGGCAGTGCAGAGTTGGGGCCTGAGGTTTAAGGTGGGATCGCTATAATACTAGGAAACATATCATGACGTCCCCACTTCTGTCTGAGTTTTGAACTCTCCGGAGTATGAGTTCTCTGCAACTGCTGAGCTTGCCTGGCCCCTAATCTGATTAGGCAACTGCCAAAGAATAATCTGAAGGTGCTCACACCACCTCAGCATCAAATGAACTGCTCAGACACCTGAAAGGTACTACCTCTTTTCAGGTAAGGGTTAGTCATTCGGCTTGGGGCATTCTCGGTAAGGTATGTGCTCCCTCCTCTTTTCTAATATTTTGCAAGCCTAAGAGATGATAGGATAGAAGAGCTAACTCTCTCATCTCTTCCTCCTAGGGCAAGAAATCATAATGCTTTACATGATCATTAAGACATTTTACTTTTTTCCTCCTAAATTCCTATAACATCTGTTCTATAATTTGTAGATGACGTGTGAAAGCATTGGTCATATCAATTCTAGTTAGGACAGCTGTGACCCCCACCTTACAGATGAAGATACAAAGGTACAGGGAGATAAAAAAGTGGTTTGGTCTTAGCAAGTCAGTGGTCTTGACTGCCTGGTGCTCTTTTTGTTACACTTTGCTCCTTCTCTTGAGCCTAAACCTCCTCATTTTCTGGCAAGCTTCTAAGAGGCCCTTTAAAAGGCAGGCATCTGCCAGGTGCCGTGGCTCCTGCCTGTAATCCCAGCACTTTGGAAGGCTGAGGCGGGAGAATCGCTTGAACTCAGGAGTTCGATACCAGCCTAGGTAACACGGTGAAACCCTGTCTCTACAAAAAATACAAAAATTAGCTGGGCATGATGGCGCACACCTGTGGTCCTAGCAAGTTGGGAGGCTGAGGTGGGAGGGTCATTTGAGCCTGGGAGGTGGAAGCTGCAGTGTGCAGTGAGCTGTGTTCATATCACTTAGTTTCAGCCTGGGCAAACCAAGTGGGACCCTGACTTCAAAAAAAAAAAAAAAAAAAAGCCTCTAGAAATGAGGAGCTGCCAGAGACAAGAACCTAAGTCACCAAAGTGTAAACACTAGTCAGACACACTTTCCTCCAATTTTGTCCAAGGAATCTTTTACTTTTAGCTTTCCCAGGCTGCTAAAGAAGAAATACATCCCCAAACTATGAGGAAAAAGAGTGATACCTTGTATAGGTTATAGAGTAGGGTATATTTGAAAATATGAAAGGAACTCACCCCCTGAGTCTCCCCGCTACTAAATGCTCCTATTGAATGTGATGTGATGCATAAAAATGGGAGAAAGGAAACAGGAGGGGCCCGGGGCTAGGGCTTCAGGCTGCTGCAGCACTGCAGACAGACCTGCCTGGAATAATAAGAGGCTCTGGTCAACTCTGGCTTCTGGGCTACAGGCAGGGGCTGCTCAGTGGAGCAGACACTTCCCTGCCCTGCCCTACTCTGTCCTTCCCCGATGGGCTGAGAGCCTCTGCTCAGGAGCAAGCCGGTAGCACTTGGAGATACTCTGGCAGGGGTGCCAGCATCACTGCCAGGCAGGACTTGATGAGTGAGGAAGGGAAGACCTCTGGAGAGGGGAAGCAGCCTGGTCCCACTTTAGAATGCACCCAGCTACAATATAAAACCTGCTTCAGGGCCGGGTGCGGTGGCTCATGCTTGTAATCCCAGCACTTTGGGAGGCCGAGGTGGGCGGATCACCTGAGGTCAGGAGTTTGAGACTAGCCTGGCCAACAAGGTGAAACCCTGTCTCTACTAAAAACAGAAAAAATTAGCTGGGCATGGTGGTGAATGCCTGTAATCCCAACTACTTGGGAGGCTGAGACAGGAGAATCACTTGAACCTGGGAGGCAGAGGCTACAGTGAGCCAAGATCGTGCCACTGCACTCCCGCCTGGGTGACAGCGAGACTCTGCTTCAGAAACAAACAAACAAAACCTGCTTTAGGAGTCCCTCAGAAAACCCGTAGTCTTTTTTCTGACCTAGAGTCAGTCTCCCTCATTCCAAGCGAGGCTCTACTTCTCCCTATACTCAGGAACAGGGATGTGGGATTGGGAGAGGTGGGAAGGTTGGGAAAAAAATATTTGTTGAGCACCTACCATGTGCTAGGAGTCATACTAGGTACTTCATATGAAAATTAGAAATTATGTACATACCCCTATGTATTATGTAGTGCCTGGCATAGTGGCTGGTCCACACACTGTAGCTATTATCATTCTTACATACACTGTTTCATTGAATTCTCACCAACAACCCTATAAGAAGGACCTCTCCTTCTTATAGCAGGGAAATATAGATTCAGAGAGCCAGATTTGTGCCCTAATCTGAATTCAAAGCCAACTTGCCTCAAGTGCAAGAACAATGATATAAAAAAAATGTAAACAAACTATGAGCTTACTTCCTAAACCTTGATGAGAAGGCTCACATAAACCCATCTGTCCCTTGTTCCTGACTCCTAAAGGCACTGAAATAGGTCAGGGAAATATCTACCTCTTGTAAACTTTCTGGGAAGGCATAGGGATAGACTCAAAGCTTTTTGGGAGCAGACACCCTCCCTTCCCCCTTGTCCTCCCCTCCCCTCACCCCACCCCCACCCCAAGCCAGAAAGCACTGGGCTCTAGATTGCTGTGAGTCCAAGCATATCCAATTCCTGCCTGGAGAGCCCAGTGGTGGGGATGAGGGCTTCCTCCACTCAGTCGTCTCATGCTCTTGGCCTTGCTCCCCCTGGTGATCTGGGAGAAGCACAGAGGGAGAACCTGCTCTGCATTCTCTCTCTTGTTTCCAGCAGGGCTGTTTCCTGTGCACCACCTTGGGGGGTTTAAGCTCTACTCCTTCTCTCTGGCACTCTTACGCTTCCAAAGGACAGTGCCCTATCAAGAAAGCTGGCAAGAACCTGACCATGGTAGGCTGCCTAGCCTAAAACATCCCTGGCTAGCCCTTCTCTCCGGAGGTGTGAATCTCAGGCAGAGGCTGTTCTGCCCGCCTCCTTATCACAGGCTCCTTATTTCCATGACCCAGATTCTAGTTCACCCTGGCCACTTCCAATCCCTCAGGTCTGGCAGCCATCCTCATCACAATCCCGGGTTCTTCCTCCCCTCCCCATGTCTGCCCTGCCCTAATTGCTCCTTAAATGCCAACTGGTTTGCAGAAGCAGACTAGAGCACATGCCCTCCTTCAGCCTACTGAGGCCCTTTGGAGGCATGGGAACAAGGTCAGAGGCAGCAGGTGTTGGCTAAAGTTCAGGTGGCGGGTGGGACCACTTGTCATCATCATCCGACAGCCACACCCAAGCCAGGAAGCCAGGTGAGGGCGGGCACACCAAGCCAGGCCTCTGGCCTCACCATGGGATAGTATACCATGGCCTGGTCAGGGAATCTGATGCTAATTTTCAGCTAGCCCCTAGAACTTAGCCTCCTGGGGGTGGGGTACTCCCTTCCTGAAGTTCTGGGTTCTGGTTCATGTCTCCTTTGCTCTTCCCTCTCCCCCCTATAGTCCTTCCAGGTTGCTAGTCTCTGCTTCCAGTCATCTCAGGACAGCCCCCTTTCCCAGAGACCCAAGGAAAGCCCACATCCTTTTAGTTTTTGAGAAAACAGACTTGAGAGGATGTCACTCGCAGGCTCAGTTCTCTCTTTCTGAAGATAGAACGCCACTTCCTGGTTAGGAGGTGGTATCCACGGGCCTCCCTCACTTACTTCCCCCTCTCCAAGTCTGCTACTCTGACAGCACCTTCTTCAATTCCACCAAAAAAGGTAGTACTAGAGTCAAAGCATCTAATCGGAGAAAACGTGTCACTCGTAGCCCCTGGGTCTCAGGAATCCAGAATTCATCCCTCCTCCCCAGAATCACTTGGTGCTTTTTGGTCAAACTACATCTATGCATGCTGTGGACCCAGTCATCTAGTCCTGGCTACATCTTCCAAAGAAATCCTCATCCAGGGCCTGGAGGGGGCATGTGCAAGGATGTTCACTGGAACATTATCTGTGGTGATCTGAGATCCAAAAAATAAAAATAAAATACCTCTCAGTCTTGGAGTGGCTGTGTTGTCTAGGATATGCTGTGCAGTGATAATGGTGGCAAAACTTACCAGTTCTGGTCAGATGCCTTCAGAAGGCAGGGAGAAGGTAGGACCCATAGATGACAAAAGCTTTCTCCAAACAGCGATACCAAGAATTGACCCAAGGTTGACAGCCTGATCCTGATCACCTGGTCTGCTAAGATCCAACCCATGTCACAGGTTTTAAGAACCACCAAGATGAAGACAGAAAGCTCCAGGGCATGGGTAGGGAAACAGTGTGGTGGGAGGAAGCAGGAATGTGCCTGGGAGGGCACGGCTGTCCCCCTGACCCCTGGCCACTGGCTCCATCTTGAAATGGCATCAGTATTATTAAGATGAGGCCAGGCGCAGTGGCTCATGCCTGTAATCCCAGCACTTTGGGAGGCCAAGGTGGGCAGATCACCTGAGGTCAGGAGTTTGAGACCAGCCTGGCCAACATGGCGAAACCCCGTCTCTACTAAAAATATAAAAATTCCATCCTGGCTAACATGGTGAAACCCCGTCTCTACTAAAAATACAAAAAATTAGCCAGGTGTGGTGGCACGTGCCTGTAGTCCCAGCTACTCAGGAGGCTGAGGCAGAAGAGTTGCTTGAACCCGGGAGATGGAGGTTGCAGTGAGCCAAGACTGTGCCATTGCACTCCAGCCTGGGAGACACAGTGAGACCCCATCTCAGAAAAAAAAAAAAAAAAAAAAAAAAAAAAAAAAAAAGCCAGGTGTGGTGTTGCACGCCTGTGATCCCAGCTGCACAGAAGGCTGAGACAGGAGAATCACTTGAACCTTGGAGGCAGAGGTTGCAGTGAGCTGAGATCGTGCCACTGCATTCCAGCCTGGGTAACAGAGTAAAACTCCATCTCAAAAAAAATTATCAAGATGAGAAAGGGCAGTCCCTTAGGCCCAGAGCCTTGGGAAAGCCAACCTCTTTCAAATTGTGTGAGTCACACTGGCCTGGGTCACCTCTGTGTCCTCCAGTGACTCAGAGGATGTATGGGGTGGAGGTAGGGGTGTTCACAGCAAGCTAGAGCTCAAAAAAATGTAGAGGATGAAACAGCAGCGCTCACCATTTCCTTCAGTTGTTTAAGGAGGACAAGAGCCACCTTCAGGTGGAAGTGACAATGCCATCTGGAAGGTCTGTTTAACAAAAGGGGTACTGGCAGCCTCTCCTGACCCCGTTCACTCAGGATAAGGGTTAGCAACGATAACTGCTACTCACTCCTCAGAGCTGCGGCAGGAAGCTTCTAGGCCACAGACAGGACGCAGCCCTCCGGCAGCAGCATTCAAGTATTTCGTATATGCACTCTCTTGGACTACACAGACTGTCTTTCTTGGGGCTGCTGTGGCTTTCCATATTTTGGTTTCAAGGGAACAAAGGGGCTTTTTAGCAGCTGGATCGGATCCTAGGTTATTTTTAGAAACGAATTTCAGCAGAATCATGTCATGCTTATGGAGAGGGGTCATCTCCCTGGGCTACCGGGTCGGGACCTGGTTGTTCCCAGGCCTCAGGATCTGGTGGAGTCCTCAGGACAAGGGGGAAGAAGTTGCCTGGCCACAGACTGAGGAGGCCACATCTCATCCACCAAAAGGGAGCACCAGGGGCAGCTGCTCTGTCCCCAGACGCTCAGCAGGAGAGGACTTAAAACAACATTCCTGTGTGGCCCAGATACTAGTCAGCATGTCCCATACTGGTCATCAGGCCTGGCTGCTCCCATTCCCTTTCTCCACTCTGACAGTCTCACCTGTACAGAGTACAGAGAACCTCCCATCCCCGCTTTACCTATTCCAGCCTTCTCTGGGCTTATTTCCTGGAAGTCACAGGCAAATCAGCGAGGGCTCCATGCTGAAAAGACAGTGCTTATTAAAAAAGGTGGCCAGGAATGATCGCTAATAACCTGCCACCCCTCTGCGCCTGTTTTATTCTTCCTTGTTCACATATTGCACAGACAGGATCCATTCAGTCAGCCTAGGCCTTTGGAAAGCGAACTGATCATGCTTCCTTGCACTTGAGTAATGTTTTAGAGCTGTGGTTCTCAAACCCAGAGTGAGCACTAGGATCCTCTGGAGAACTGGGGCAAACCTATTGGGCCCCTCCCTGCCAACTCCTGAGTTTCTGGTGCACAAGAACGGAGGTGGGGCCTGGGAAGGTGCACTCCTAACAAGTTCCTTAACAGGGTGAGCTGATGCATCTGGTCTGGGGACCACACTTTGAAAATGTTGCGAGGTTCCAAAGCATTCCCATGAACCCCTTCAGCTCCAGGCTGACATGGGAAGGCACAGGAAGATCTTGCCATGTGTCTCCTTCACTCTTCCCTCTCCCTCTGCTAGTCCTTCCAGGTTGCTGATCTCTGCTTCCATTTATCTCTGGGCAGCCCCCTTTCCCAGACAGAGCCCTGAAAAAGCCCACATTTTTTTAGTCTTTGAGAAAACAGACTTGAGAGGATGTCACTCAACAGGCTACAACAGAAGCCAAGGTCTATTCGAAAAGTTAAAACAAGCCACCTCGTGAGGTTCAGAGGGACACCCAGGCCCCTTTCAGGTTCCAGTGGAGCAAATCCCCTCCCAGCCCTGTCTTCTATCTCCACAGGAGATGAGCGATGCTGGGGCCCATACACAGATGAGGGGAAAACAAAAACAAAAGACATTCGCTGCTCACTTTGGCTCCCAAAACATTACTGCCCCTGGTTGCCTCTGGAACCCAGGCTGCCGTTCCCCTGCCATCCCCCACGGTTCCAGAAGAAGCACCAGGCTCACCGCCTCCATAACACCTCTCAGGGAGCGCCTGCCCACTGCTCCGAGGCCAGGGCGGCCAGCAGCAGCTGCTGGTTTCCAGGCCAGTTGACAAGCTGTTATAAACAGTCGCTTTAGGTTGCTATGGCAAAGCGAGTGTGCAGCCCAGCGACGGTAAAGCTATTTATGTGCCTGTAATGACAGAGTGGTCTGTTTTTTATTATTTTACTTTTAAAGTTTTCTTTTCCCAACCCCCTAAATCAGCTTTAAAAAAAAAAAAAAAAAAAAAAAAAAAAAAAAGAGCCACCGCAACTTACTCAGGAACAAAAACAGGATAGCCAGAAAATAGAGCCTATGACTTGAGCCAGGAAGGGGAAGATGGAAGCAAGGAGTGTGGGTGAGCTCCTTTCCAAAAGGGAAGGTGCGGCCTCTGGCCATGCAGGCCTCTAATCACTTAGGAACCAAAGCCCTGCCTCTGGCTCAGCTCCTCAAGGAGAAACGCCAAACCCCAGGGTCTTCTCACCTCCCTGCACTTATATTACGGATAAGAGACAAAGCCACTTTGTCTTCTTGCTCTAACAGCAGCACTCCTCCCTCCCCCCAGCCCCCACCAGCTGCCACTATCAAGGGAGGAAGACATGGAGGATTCACCAGGTGTCGTGGGAGGAGAGCTTCGAAGCCCCCATCCCCTCTGTGGGTAGCAGTGCCACCCAGGCAAGGAGCCTGCTCACTCTAGCTGGAGGGTTGCAGAGAACAACCTCTAGAGGTACCTCTGAGGAGACACGTGTTTCCTCCACTTCTACAGAGAACTTTCATCCAATCCTTTCTCCTTAGCTTTGGGGTGAAGGGCTACTTCTGCATAGCAAGACCCAAGATTTTAGTCAAGGTGGTGAGGACCCTTAGTCAGCATCACAGAGTCAGCATGCAAGGTTCAGATGCTGATGGATGAGTAACAGTGCAGCTGATTCCTCCCTAGACACATATGTCTCGGGCACCAGAGACGTGGGAAAGGTTTTTGGCCGAGGGGTTAGGGAGTGATCAGAGGTCAGTCTGCATCTATTCGATGGAAGTACTATGGCCCTCTGCCTTGACTCCCTCAACCAAAAATAAAATAGCAAAGAAGAAGAGAAATAAGGGCCATAGGTGGTTCAAGATGGGCAGGAGAGGCAGGTGCGGTGGCTCACGCCTATAATCGTGCTCTTTGGGAGGCTGAGGAGGGAGGATTGCTTGAACTCAGGAGTTTGAGATCAGCCTTGGCAACATAGTGAGACTTATTTTTTTTATCTAAACAAAATAAAGAAAAAAAATGAAGGTCAAGAAAGTGGGAGTCACAAGTCAATGTGGTAATTAATCACAGGCATGCACACACTCACATACACACAACTGAGCTGAAAGCGTGAACTGACTAATAAATATGCTATAGGTCGTCAATCACTAAACAACATGTGAGTAAGAGAAAGAGTCACCTTTCAGAAACAGCTAGTTGGAATATAAAGATGCTGCAGGAATTTATCAACCCCTTCTCCCCACCTTATTCCAGCTTCTTTTGGATTGGTATACACTTATTAGGAGATTAAAAACCTCTTACTGCCAACAGACACATTAACCAGATAAAAATAAAGTTAGGGCAGTGTTAAAAACAGCAAATTGCATAGACTGTTCCATTTCCTCCCATCTCATATGATAACTGAATGTCTCCCAGATGCCACCATGGCTCAGAAAGGATATAGATGAGAACACTCCCCACGGGGAGGAGAGAGGGCAGGAGAAGGGGGAAGACACTGATGCTCCCATCAGGGAAGCACCCTTCTGGTGCCCCAGGAGAGGTTAAAGTCCTAACTGACAGCCCTGGTTAGCTCATAAGCTCTTGTTGGAGAAATCAGAACTTGGGATAAAAATCAGTCTTGGCAGAACCTTGAGGTCAGAAGAGCAGAGCAGGCATCACTTCTAAACCTGTCAAACCAACTATCATCAGCATCCTAGTTCCTATAGGGTGGGAAGGGAGAAGGGAGAGGTGAGGAAAGAGTCCACAGATGAAAAAGGTATAGTCCTGGACTGTTGGGTGTAGGCTGATGGAAAAGTACTAACTATGAATTAAGGTTCCAGATAAGCTGTGCTTCTCTTCCTAGGTTAAGAGTATGAACTCGGCCGGGCGCAGTGGCTCACGCCTGTAATCCCAACACTGTGGGAGGCCAAGGCAGGTGGGTCACCTGAGGTCAGGAGTTAGAGACCAGTCTGGCCAACATGGCGAAACCCCGTCTCTACCAAAAATACAAAAATTAGCCACCTGTGGTGGCACACACCTGTAATCCCAGCTACTTGGGAGGCTGAGTCAGGAGAATCACTTGAACCGGGAAGATGGAGGTTGCAGTGAGCTGAGATCGTGCCACTGCACTCCAAGCCTGGGTGACACAGTGAGACTCAATTAAAAAAAAAAAAGATAAAATAAAAAAGAGTATGAACTCAAGCCGAGTGGCCATTACTTGGGAATACATAAAAAGACAAAGAGAGATGCAGACATATTTCAGTGTCCCAAGGTAGAGTGAGCTTCCAAAACTCATGGACTAGAAAGAACATCTATTCCAAAGGGCTCGCATCCACAGTGATGGACACAGGGCTCATTGTTGAAAGAGACAAAGGGCAGGCAAAGAGGTGACTCAGCCCCAGCTGGTCATTGTTGATGGAAGTCTCTCAGGGGAGAGAAAGTGGAGAGTATTGTGTATTTTTCTTCCAAGTGAGCAGAAAGGTTGTGTCATCACCTCTCTATCCCAACCTCAGCTCCAGAGCCTGGCCTAACCTGTGCAATTAATGAATGAGCCACCTCTCTCTGTTCCATCCAGTGTGCTTCTGTTTCCAAGGGAAGGAAAAGTATGAAAGTCCCAGAAAGGGGCCAGGAACGGTGGCTCACGCCTGTAATCCCAGCGCTTTGGGAGGCTGAGGTGGGCAGATCACCTGAGGTCGGGAGTTCGAGACCAGCCTGACCAATATGGAGAAACTCCGTCTCTACTAAATATACAAAAATTAGCAGGGGGTGGTGGCACGTGCCTGTAATCCCAGGTACACGGGAGGCTGAGGTAGGAGAATCGCTTGAACCTGAGAGGCAGAGGTTGTGGTAAGCCGAGATCACGCCATCGCACTCCAGCCTGGGCAACAAGAGCCAGACTCCATCTCAAAAAACAGACAAACGAACAAACAACAACCAAAAAAAGTCCTGGAAAGGGATCCAGTCTCCAGAGACAATCAGTAAGACCCAGGCACCACTCCTTCAGCACTTGCTCCATCTGCCCACATTCTTTGCACCTTAAAATTGGCAGACTGAATGAATGGTTGATGGCACATCTCCCTTGATCTGCAGGACACAGTCACAGAGGTTTTGGTGCAGATAGAAGGGGAATGAGCCATCACTGAAGGAATCCATCTACTCTCTAGGGAGAGGCAAAGGTGAACACAACCCAGTTGATTCTAAACTCCTATACATACCACTTTAAACACCACTTCAACCTCCAAGGCAAAACCTGGAAGAATGGTGGGATGGTGGTCGGAGGTTTGTAGGAAGTGAAAAAATAAGATATTTTCTAGATTATTTTATTTCTAAAGCCCTAAGCTACCAAGATCATAAGAAGAATACCTAGCACCAAACTATTTCCACCTCCCCATTTTTCTCTATACCTCATTCCCAAACTTCTGACTTTATTATCCCATACTTATGTGTATCCCTTCCCCTACCTCCTTCTCCCCAATCTATCTGTCTATTTCAATCTCTCAATCTCTCTCATTCTCTTTTCCCACATCTCCAGGGACAGCCTAATTGGATTGATCCTTGCCTGGATAATTTCTGAAACCAATCAGTCCTGTCCTAGTCCACAGTGGCTCACACAGTGGAAGGAGCAGGAATGTGCTGAAAAGCAAGTCAGGCACTTGTGGGGCTGCCACAGCCAGCACCAACCCAGGACCCATCTGTGTCACTGGGGTCACGGATGATGGGTCAAAGGCATGTGGGACCAGATTCCATGAGCCAATCTGCATTCTCCCCAGTCCATCTGGAGCTTGCTTGTCTAAGTCAAATATTTATGTGGGAACTAACTACATTGGAGGTAGAGATAAACAGTTAACACTGAGGACTCTAGGTGGGGGAAGGGGAGGGATAGGAGAATATTCCCATGGATTAAATACAAAAGTCAGTTATAGTAACTATAGCCATCTAAAAAATGAAAAAAACAAAACAAAACACCAAAGTCAGGATGTAGTATGCTCAGCCAAGCTCCCAATCTAGCATAAATAGGGGAGTGGCTTGATGGAGGCAGAAGACTAGACAGATTAAAAAGGCACTACAATCTGACCCTGGCTCCTTTCAGGGTTCCCAAAGAAGCTGACCACTCAAGAACTGAACACAATAAGCTAGTCCTACCCAACTACAAGCTGCAAGATGGCTCCACTGTTCCACCTCCGTTCCACTCTGAGCCTACAGAGCATGGTGGGGAATAGACATATGGATGCTAAAATCCAACCCCTGGTGACAGGCTGCTTTCTTCTCTCTTTCCCCACCACTACACAAGGATTCGCAGAGGAGGAGTAGCATCACACATCCTATCCAAGCAGAGTGAAACTTTCATAGGCATCTCATGCTATTTGTTTCTGCAGAAGATTGCCAGAGCAAGCTTTCCCCCAGTTCCTCCAGTCTAACACACCCTGGCCAGCTGTTCCAAATTAGCAAGATCTTCATCACCAGAGAGGGATCTTTTTCAGTGTGGTGGGGAGGGGGTCACTTTCCTCCCTTTAGGGTTCCTGTCACTGGGCCCTCTCTCTGTAAGCAGCCAAGTCCTCAGAGAAGCTGAGGACACGCCAGGCTGCTGTCTTCCCTCCCTCCTCCAATGGCCAGACCAAGAAAGAGAGCTCGCCTTCATGCGGGGGAAGTCCCACGGCAGTGAGGCTATGGAAACTTTGCCGTCTAAGGCTGTGGAATTCTTCCACTGGGCTCCTGCAGTTAATCATCGCAGCTCCCTGGATTCCCAACTTTGGGCTTTAAAAGGTAGCACCCGAGCAAGAAGGACAAACATATCGAGGAGAAGAAAGAAAAAAAAGTTGGTGTAAGCGAAAAGATAGCTACCTCCAACACTAGTCTACTGAGTAACTGAGCAATTGTGAGAAGAGGAAAGAAGAAAAGAGCACAGGAAAAATAAGTATAGGCCACACTCCAGAACCTTACTCCAGACTGCCAGCGAATGCTGCCCATATCCACTCCCTAGAACCTACAGGGAACATTGCTCCTTTGCTAATGTACTTGTAGAAGGATTATCTAGGGTTGCTTTGTTTGAAACTTTCTCCTCTCAGTAGATCACGGGCTTCTGTCCCCCTTTGGAAAAAAGTGCTAGAGGCAGGGCACAATGATTCACACCTGTAATCCCTGCATTGTGGGAGGCTGAGGTGGGCAGATTGCTTGAATCCAGGAGTTCGAGACCAGCTGGAGCAACATGGTGAAACCCCATCTCTACAAAATATACAAAAATTAGCCAGGCATGGTGGTGCGCACCTATAGTCCCAGCTACTCTGGAGGCTGAGGTGGGAGGATCTCCTGAACCTGGGACGCAGAGGTTGCAGTGAGTGGAGATGGCACCACTGTACTCCAGCCTGGATGACAAAGTGAGACCCTATCTTAAAACGAAACAAAACAAAAGCAAAAAGGTGCTAGAGAGCTCACAATTGTGAGTACACAGCACTGAAATATTAACTTCCAAGATGGTCAAAGTGGCTTCTTAGGCCAGGTTGTCATGGTTTCCAAGACCACAAACAGAAGTTTGGTTCAAAAGAAGGGCAGGAAGGGAACTGCCTTTTTCTTCCTAAGGGAATAGTTTCAAGAGCCAAGATAAGAGGGGGATATGGCAAAAGGAAGAGAAGTTTCCATAACAGGGCAAAGAAAATGGACAGTCTTGAGAGTTCAATTTTTCCTGGTGAGCATAGGGAGAGAGGCCTCATTTGTAGGATTATAAGGCCCTATTCAGATGGTGAGATAAACCTAGGAGGTTAATAGGAAGAGGAGTCAGCTTTCTACTATGTTAAATGTCCACCCAACAAAACCTAGGAGGCACGAAGAACGGGGGCCAAAATTAAGCTACTTTGGGAAAGCGAAGGCCCTCCAAAGACTCTGAGTTTTGCCTGAAAGAGGGCAGATGAGATAATTATCCCCAGAAGTGATGTGTGGAGGTGCTGTTTCCAGAATTGAGGCCTGCCTTGCTGTCCACCTCCTGCAGGTCCCCTGGTCAGGACCCTTTCAACTCTCATTTCAAAGGAGCCAGATGGAGAACATTGTAAGAAACCAAAATGCTACCATTCCTCCCAGCAGGAGCTGTCAGCTGAGTGTGGCCACCTGGCCCAGGAATTCCCTTTCATACTCATGGGCAGTTCTCTGTGGCTTATGAGAATCCCCTTGGATGCTTCCTCCTGAGCTGGTGCCAGCTTGGAAAGGAGACAGAGTTGCTCACCGCTCTGCTCTACCCAGAAGCAGCAACTGTGGCACCACTGTAGGTTAATTACCACGTATGCTCCACCACCTTCTCAAAGCAGGTAGGCTGACCACAAGCTAGGAGGCAGGTCAGACCTGTCACAATTTTATCACCAGTAACAATACTAGCCAGTAAGTTCCTGGTCTTTTCAGGGAGCATGTCCTCTGCTTTTCCCACCAACTACATCAAACAAGAATCCCATAATCATAGCCACGTAGATGGAAAAGTCTAAACAAATCCCCTCATTTTACATTTAAGCATGTATTAGCAAAATATTGTGCTGAGCACTGGATAAAAAGGCTACACAATTTTTTTTTTTTTTTTTGAGATGGAGTCTAGCTCTGTCACCAGGCTGGAGTGCAGTGCTGTGAATCTCGGCTCACTGCAACCTCCGCCTCCCGGGTTCAAGTGATTCTCCTGCCTCAGCCTCCTGAGTACCTGGGACTACAGGCACGCACCACTGTGCCTGGCTAATTTTTGTATTTTTAGTAGAGACAGGGTTTCACCATATTGGCCAGGCTGGTCTTGAACTCCTGACCTCGTGATCCGCCCATCTTGGCCTCCCAAAGTGTTGGGATTACAGGCGTGAGCCACCGAGCCCGGCCAAGGCTACACAATCTTGACAGGAAAGCAGGACAGGGGCAGAGACACCTGAGGCAAAGAAATCTGTATTGGGTGTCAAAGGAAGGGCAGAAACATCTCCCACGCCTGCTAGCCTGTGCCTACCCAAAACCTCTAGGGTTTCCCCTGCTGCCAGCTTGTGGCCATCAAGCTGCTGCAGGAGAGAGCTCATCACAGCGTGGGCCTCCCACTAAGGGCTCACCCTGAGCAGAGGGGAACCTTCTCTTTTCAGAGCTGCTACATACAGTCAGGTAGCATGTGCCCTGAACATGGGCACCAGGTAAGGAGGTGGTTTGGGAGATGAAATCCACCCTAAGTTTTGCCAGATGGGCCTTGCTCCTGTGGGCTATATTCACCTTTCTAAAATCTTTAAAAGTACCTTAAGGGCCGGGTGCGGTGGCTCACGCCTGTAATCCCAGCACTTTGGGAGGCTGAGGTGGGCAGATCACGAGGTCAGGAGATTGAGACCACGGTGAAAGTCCATCTCTACTAAAAACACAAAAAATTAGCCAGGCGCGGTGGCAGGCGCCTGTAGTCCCAGCTACTCGGGAGGCTGAGGCAGGAGAATGGCGTGAACCCGGGAGGCGGAGCTTGCAGTGAGCCAAGATCGCGCCACTGCACTCCAGCCTGGGTGACAGAGCGAGACTCTGTCTCAAAAATAAAATAAAATAAAATAAAAGTACCTTAAGGACTAGCAGGTGCAGTTAACTGTCAACCTGGCATTCCCTTGGGTCACCAAATCCTGAAAAATATCTAAGGAAGAAAACCAGTAGTGAATCCAGTTTGACATGGGGATGCACCAGAGCCAGAGCTGAAGATGTCAAAGTGGCCAGCCCCGTGGGGCCCCTGCACCCGGGCCAGGCTCCTGCCCCTCACAGCTCACAGGCTCTCCCATGAAGTCCTTCCCAAGTAGCACCAGTGCCTCTCAGCCAAACCTCCTCCAAATCCATTCTCCCTGAGCCTTCATTTCCTCATCTAAAAAAATGGGGATCAAAAAGTCATCTACCCCATACCAAAGTTGAAAGGATTATTACTTTTTTCATGTGCAAAGGCCCTTGCCCTTGGATGAAGATCAAGTATCTTAAGAAGCCACTGAACAGTGGAGGCAAACTGCTCCTGCCCCTCTGTCAGAGCCTCCCCGTGCCTCTGGCCACCGTGTTCCTATACTTTCCAGTCCTGGATCTGGACCCTTGGCTCTGTGTACCAGGAGGACATTGGTACTCCCCATTCCCAGACTTCTCCAGAATCTCTAATTTTTGCAGCTATATCTGGGGAATCTATCTGTCTGAGGTTCCTTTTTAAGTGGTGTCAGCAAGACTAAGTAAAAAGACAGAAAGAGTTCATGAGAGTAAAGGAACTCTGTTAAGAACTCACATGTGGATAATGCTTCACAGTTTTCAAAGCACTCTGACATTTGATCTTTGCAACAATCTTTTAAGATAGACAGGACTGACAATATCATTCTTTGACAGATTTTAGAGCATATGGTCTTAAAGGTGAAGTGACTCACTCAGTTAAGGCCATGCAACCACAGGAAGAGCCTAGAAGAAGCTAAGGCATACTCCATACTACAAGGTCCTAAAAGAAATTGGAGAGAAGAGGCTGGGCACAGTGGCTCATGCCTGTAATCCCAGAGACTCAGGAGGCCGAGGCAGGAGGATCGCTTGAGGCCAGGAGTTTGAGACCAGCCTGGGCAATACAGTGAGACACCGTCTCTACAAAAAATAAAAAATTAGCTGGGTGTGGTAGCATGTGCCTGTAGTCCCCACTACTTAGGAGGCTGAGGAGGGAAGATTGCTTGAGCCCAGGAGTTTGAAGCTGCGGTAAGCTATGATCACACCACTGCACTCTAGCATGGTGACAGAGCAAGACCTTGCTTAAAAAAAAAAAAAGAGAGAGAGAGAGCAGCCTGTAGAAAATAGTGGGATAATTCTAGGCCCAACCCAGGACATTGGAGCTGGGGATTCCTGTCCTGATGAGCTCAGAGGATTAATATAGGTTCTCCTACTTCCTCTCAGAGGTAACAGTGAGACATGCTGAATGTATGTGTGATGTGTGTGTGTGTCATTCTTCTTGGCCATGGGTACCCTGAGAGTACAGTTTGTGGTCTAGATGGAGGCGGTACACCTCCTGGTGTGTTGTGGAGGTACAAAAGGGAGGAGAACAAAAAAGGGTGGAGGAAGATTAGAAAAAGAAAGGAAGAAGGCTCTTTCCCTTAGGGAATTCCCAGTCCGCAGAATTCTAAATAAAGAAGACAGGATACACCCATATTAAGAAGGCCTATGATTATAGTACAGCACATCCAGAAATATTGAAGTGCATCAGGACCAGGAAGGACAAAGACTGACAAGGGGAAGAAATGCAAAAAACAAAAGCAAACACAAACCCAAAAAATATAAACAGGAAACAAAATGTTGCTCTACAGTCTCTAGACCCTTTAAAGGCCTTCAGCATTGAAAGGAGGGAATCTCCAGGGTTAACAATAGGGTCTTTCCCTAGGAAGGCAAGCAAATGCAAGGTTCTGGCCCCAGATAATCACTTCTCTCTAGCTAGCACTTCTGGGTTCAGGTGATGTCATGCGCATTAAGTATTTGTCGAGAAAAGAGACCTCTGGAAGAGTAAAACCTCAGGACAGAGTTTATAAACAGCACACTCAATTCCACCTGCCTTCCACTATCTGGGAGAGTGACCCTCCTCAGTTTCCTGCTACAAGGAAAGAGTAGGCTATTCTCTTCATATTACTGCAAATTATGATATACCCAAAAAATGTGATTTAAAAAAGGAGGGCCTCCATGGGCAGATGAATGGACAAACAAGTGTGGCACATCCATACAATGGAATTATTATTCAAGGAAGGATGTTCTGACACATGCTGCCACACGGATGAACCTTGAAAACATTATGCTAAGTGAAATAAGCCAGTCACACACACACAAACAAATACAGTATAATTCTATTCATATGAAGTATGTAGAATAGGCAAATTCATAGAGACAGGAAGTAGAGTGGAGGTTACCACAGGCTGGATGGAGTGGGGAATGGGCATTATTGTTTAATGGGTACAGAGTTTCAGTTTGGGATGAAGGAGAAGTTCTAGACATGGATGATGGTGATGGGAAACCTACACTGGGAATGTAGTTAGTACCACTGAACGGTCTACTTAAAAATGGTTAAGATAAGCTGGGAGCGGTGGCTCATGCCTGTAATCCCAACACTTTGGGAGGCTGAGACGGGTGGATCATGAGGTCCGGAGATCGAGACCATCCTGGCTAACACGGTGAAACCCTGTCTCTACTAAAAATACAAAAAGAAATTAGTCGGGCGTGGTGGCAGGCACCTGCAGTCCCAGCTACTCGGGAGGCTGAGGCAGGAGAATGGTGTGAAACCCGGAGGCAGAGCTTGCAGTGAGATCGTGCCACTGCACCCCAGCCTGGGCAACTGAGTGAGACTCCATCTCAAAAAAAAAAAAAGGTGAAGATGGCAAATTTTATGTTCTGTATATTTTATCACAGTAAAATAAATAAATAAAAATAGGAGAAGGAAGAAGAGCAGATGGAAGAGTCATCCTGGTATAGACAGGTGAGAAGGGTGGAGAAGGGAAGAGCAGAGCTAAATTCCAGATGTGGACCAGCAGCTGCTGTCACCGAGAGTTCAGATCCATTGTGGTAATGGAGGTGGAGGCCAGTGGGGCACAGGTCAGTCACCACAGACACGCCCAGGGCTGGGAGCCCACACAGAGCCTGGCACAACATCAAAGAACTCAAGGGACCTGGCAAAGCTGAGTGACAAGGCAAAGGGGTGGAGAAACAGACTGGGCTTTCTGAATACCATGCAGCATGCTTGTGTGTGGTAGGAGACAATGGTGGGAGTGCATTGAGGGTGGTGGGCATAGGGTAGACAAATCACCTTTTCAAAGAGCAGGAGAAAGGCATCTGTGTTCATCCTCTCCTCTCCCAAAGTCACCCCATCATCAGCTCAGAGAACACAGGCACCTGGTTACAGCAGGTACAGCTAAGGCTTTCCTGACCCAAGATGGGGAACTAAGTCTCCAGGCTTTTTGATCACTCTGTATTAGTATCTCATTTGATCCTCTCAACAACCTTGGGAAATGGGTCGTATCACTCCCATTTTACAGAGGAGAAAACTGGCTAAATACTTTGTCTAGGCTCACACAGTAAGAAGCCAAGCCAGAATCCAAACCCGACTTTGGCAGAAGCCACACTTTTTTCATAATATTGCCTTTGAGGTGCTTTCCAGACATGAGAGCTCTCTTTCTCAGTGATCATTCACCTCTTAAAGTATGGTGCAGAGATTAAGAGCATAAGCTCTGTGGACAGACAGCCCAAATCCCAGATCACTACCCATTTGACCTTGGGAAAGTTTTTTTTTTTTTTAGACAAAGTTTCTCTCTTGTTGCTCTGGCTGGAGTGCAGTGGCGCGATCTCAGCTCACTGTAACCTCTGCTTCCTGGGTTCAAGCAATTCTCCTGCCTCGGCCTCCCAAATAGCTGGAACTAGAGGGCCACCCCACCATGCCCGGCTAATTTTTGTATTTTTAGTAGAGACAGGGTTTCACCATGTTGCCAAGCTGGTCTCGAACTCCTAACCTCAAGTGATCCGCCTGCCTCGGCCTCCCAAAGTGCTGGGACTACAGGCATGAGCCACCGTGCCCAGTCCCTGTGCTCTTCTTCTTATTTATTTATTTTTTTGAGACAGAGTCTCACCCTTGCTAGGCTGGAGTGCAGTGGTGCGATCTTGGCTCACTGCAACCTCCGTCTCCCAGGTTCAAGCAATTCTCCTGCCTCAGCCTCCCAAGTAGCTGGGATTACAGGTGCTCACACCATGCCCAGCTAATTTTTGTATTTTCAGCAGAGATGGGGTTTCACCATGTTGGCCAGGCTGGTCTCGATCTCTTGACCTCACGATCTGCCCACCTCGGTCTCCCAAAGTGCTGGAATTACAGGCGTGAGCCACTGTGCCCAGGCCTCCCCCCACCCCCCACCTCCGTTCTCTTCTTACTGCTCCCTAGGAGCCTATTCATCGGCTGTTACATTGAACTGGGACCTCATTTTTTATCTCCACCACCCCAAGTGATACATTCTCACCCCAATGGCGTGCATTCTCACGATCTTCCAACCTACTACCTTTTGTGATAGCTATTTTTATCCTCTTTCAACAACTGAAGGAACTGAGGCCTAAAGCTCTGCAGTTAACTTGTGGTGAAACTGGACCATAAACCCAGGTCCAAAAAACTCATGGTCTTGGCTGTTACATGATGTTTTGGCATTAGAGAGAAAAAATCTACCACATGGTAAAGGGAAAAGTAGCTTGGGTTGAATTTCAAATACTTGGATTGGAATCCAAGCTCTGTGACCTTGGACAAGTTTCTTTCTTTCTTTCTTTCTTTTTTTTTTTTTTTTTTTGAGATGGAGTCTTGCTCTGCCGCCCAGGCTGGAGTGCAGTGGCACAATCTTGGCTCACTGCAACCTCCAGCTCCCAGGTTCAAGCGATTCTCCTGCCTCAGCCTCCCGAGTAGCTGAGATTACAGGCACCTGCCACCACGCCCGGCTAATTTTTGTGTTTTTAGTAGAGACAGGATTTCACCATTTTGGCCAGGCTGATCTTGAACTCCTGATCTTGTGATCCACCTGCCTTGGCCTCCCAAAGTGCTGGAATTACAGGCGTGAGCCACCACACCCAGCTTTTTATATATTTTTTTTAGCAACAGGGTCTCACCCTGCCAACCAGGCTGGATGGAGCAATCTTCCCGCTTCAGCCTCCCCAGTAGCTAGAACTACAGGCTTCCCCCACATGCCTAGCTAATTTTTATTTTTATTTTTTGAGACAGGGTCTTGCTCTGTTACTCAGGCTGGAATGCAGTGGCATGATCAGAACTCACTGAAGCCTCAGCCTCTGGGCTCAAGTGATCCTCCCACCTCAGCCTCCTTTGTGGACTACAGGGGTGTGCCACCATGCCTGGCTAATTTTCAAATGTTTTTGTAGAGACAACGTTTTGCTGTGTGGTCTCGGCTGGTCTCAAACTCCTGGGCTCAAGTGATCCTCCCACCTCTGCCTCCCAAAGTGCTGGGATTATGGGTGTGAGCCACTGCACCTGGCCAGAAACTATAATTTTTAAATACCTGCTTTGGGCTTGTCATTCTGACATATATTACATGAAATTATAAAGATTAATGATTCAAAGTGATTAATACAAGAGCTACTCAAGAAATGGTAATCTTTATTATTTTCTTCGATATCACAACCATAAATTTTTTTTTAACTGACACATTTTCTATCATTTTCATTTGTGTTTCCTTTTCATTTTTCTTCCCCTCTGCTAGTTTGGAAGTTATATTATACCAAGTTTTTTAGTATTAGCCTAGAAATCTTAACATAAAGACTTCTAATAAGCAATATCTTTAATTTTTTCCCTAGAAAATATAAGGACCTTAGAACACTTAAACTCCAATTACTATATTCACCTTCTAATTTTTTTTTTTTCAGACGCAGTCTCACTTTGTCACCCAGGCTGGAGTGCAGTGGCGCGATCTCGGCTCACTGCAACCTCCACCTCCTGGGTTCAAGCAATTCTCCTGCCTCAGCCTCCTCAGTAGCTGGGATTACAGGCACACACCACCACGCCCAGCTAATTTTTGTATTTTTAGTAGAGACGGGGTTTCACCATGTTGGCCAGGCTGGTCTCGATCTCCTGACCTTGTGATCCACCCGCCTCAGCCTCCCAAAGTGTTGGGATTACAGGCATGGGCCACCATGCCTGGCCTTACCTTCCAATTTATATACTATAGTTACTGAGGATTTAAATTATATCTTCATTTTATTCCTATCAATTAGACATTGTTATATTTCTGATATTTCTTGTCTTTGACATCAATATTTAGATTTCACTCCATGTTTACCATTTTATTTGCTCATCATCCCGTCTTCGTTTCTTTTTCTTTTTTTCTTTTTTTTTTGAGACAGGGTCTCCCTCTGTTGGCCAGGGTGGAGTGCAGTGGCGCCATCATAGCTCACTGCGGACTGAATCTCCTGGGCTCAAGTGATCCTCCCACCTCAGTCTCCCAAGTAGCTGGGACTACAGGCCTGCATCATCATGCCAGGCTTTTTTTTTTTTTTTTAATTTTTATTAGAGATGAGGTTTCTCTATTTTGCCCAGGCTGTTCTTGAACTCCTGAGCTCAAAAGATCCTTTCATCTTGGTTTTCCAGAGTGCTAGGACTATAAGGCATGAGCCACAGTGCTCAGTCCATCATCCCTTCTTGAATCTTAGACTTTCCTTTTAGTACAGGCATACCTTGGAGACATTGCAGGTACGATTCCAGACCACTGCAATAAGGCAAGTTCCTGGTTATTTATTATTGTTTTGGTTTCTCAGTGCATATAAAAGTTATGTGTACACAATACTATAGTCTATTAAGTGTTTTTATGGTTAAAAAACACAATGTGACTACCTTAATTAAAATATATTTTGTGTTAAAAATGCTAATGATCGGCCGTGGTTCACGCCTGTAATCCTAGCACTTTGGGAGGTTGAGGGGGGCGGATCACTTGCGGTCAGGAGTTCAAGGCCAGCCTGGCCAACATGGTGAAACCCTGTCTCTACTACAAATATTTTTAAAAAAGGGTGACCCTTTCCTGTCCCGGCCTGCGTGGAGTCTCTGAGACCTTAAAATTGAGAGTGTTTTCGCACCTCAGGGGCTACTCCTGGTGGTTCTGCGCCTGTCACCATGCCACAGAACGAATATATTGAATTACACCATAAACACTATGGATACCGTTTGGATTACCATGAGAAGAAAAGAAAGAAGGAAAGCTGAGAGGCTTATGAACGAGAGGCTCATGAACGTTCAAAGAAGGCAAAGCAAATGATTGGTCTGAAGGCTAAGCTTTACCTTAAACAGTGTCATGCTGAGAAAATACAAATGAAAAAGACTATCAAGATGCATGAAAAGAGAAACACCAAACAAAAGAAGGATGAAAAGACTCCACAGGGAGCAGTACCTGCTTATCTGCTGGACAGAGAGGGACAATCTCGAGCCAAAGTACTTTCCAATATGATTAAACAGAAATGAAAAGAGAAGGTGGGAAAACGGGAAGTCCCTCTGACTAAAGTACATGCCCAGGGAGAAACAGACGTATTAAAAGTTGTTTGAACAGGAAAGAGAAAGAAGAAGGCATGGAAGAGGGTGGTTACTAAACTCTGCTTTGTCGGAGATGGCTTTACAAGAAAACCACCTAAATAAGAAAGACTGATCAGGCCAATATGCATTTCAAGAAAGCCCATGTATTACATCTTGAACTGAAAGCCACCTTTTGCCCACCAATACTTGGTGTAAAGAAGAATCCCTCATCCCCACCGTATACAACTGTGGGTGTTATTACCAAAGATATTGTCATTGAGGTAAATGTGAGCGAATTGGGCCTTGTGACACAAGGAGGCAAAGTTATTTGGAGAAAATATGCTCAGGTTACCAACAGTCCTGAAAATGATGGCTGCATAAATGCAGTCTTACTGGTTTGACAGCAATTTCATATATAATTATTGGGGACTACACACCAACTGAAAAAACTGCCATTACTGTAATGTTTCTACCAAACAGCCATATATGTCTGCAATCAAGAGATTTATTACATTGTAAACATTAAAATGGTCCAGTTTTATAAATGGTCTTTGTTTTGAAATCTGCTTAGACCCCATGTTCATAAAATTGAATGATTGAAAAAAAGCAAATATACAAATATCCTACTTCATCAATATCTGCATTTATGCGTGGGTATTCAGCAATTTCCTGAAAAACCACCAGTTCCGTTGAAAATGCCTTTCAAAAAGGTTAATACACACTTAATTATGTGTCTGAGAATTTAAATGAAGTATCTTCTACCTCGTTATTCATTAATCCTAAAAAGACAGCATTAATACAGATGTTAAGTTTACAGTGTTTACACTAAAAGTATGTGAGAAGACGCAAAGTTCAGAACTCTTAGAGAAATCTTTTCACCTGTGAAATCCTTAACTTCTGAATACCGCAAAGGTCTAGTGAATTCACATTCTAAACATTTTTTTCTTCCATTTACCATGTAGAATAATACCTACTTGGCACTGTTTTCTACTTGAATCATGAAAATGAAAAAAAATACTAAAGTCTTTGTACTTTCTTAGCATTTCTGTGTTCTAAACAGTATATTTCTAGTTTCAGAATGGTATTAAGAATTAGTTTAAGCAGCTCCAGCTAAGTTTTAAAAGGATAAAGAAGACTGCACTGATTCTCTGAGGAGAAACTTATTTGCAGTTAGATGACATAAAAAAGTAAGGTGTTAGGGTTGTAACTTGGTGAAAGCACTTTTGTGATCTGTGATATGTTGTGGCTTTAAGGATGGCTGTATATTATATTAATCTATAATCACCAAAAAAAAAAAAAAATAGCTGGGCGTGGTGGCACATGTAATCCCAGCTACTCGGGAGGCTGAGTTGAGAGAATCGCTTGAACCCAGGAGGCGAAGGTTGCAGTGAGCCGAGATCGCACCGTTGCACTCCAGCCTGGGCAACAGAGCAAGACTCCGTCTCAGAAACAAAACAAAACAAAACACAACGCTAATGATCATCTGAGCCTTCAGGAAGTGGTAATCTTTTTGCTGGTGGAGAGGTCTTTTCTCAATGTGGATGGCTGCTTGCTGATGGGTGGGGTAGCTGTGACAATTTCTTCAAATAAGACAACAATAAAGTTTGCTGCATTGATTGACTTTTTAGTGAGACTTCTCTATAACATATGATGCTATTTGACAGCATTTTTTCCTTTTCTTCCTTTTGTTTCTTATTTTATTTATTATTATTATTATTATTTGAGATGGAGTCTTGCTATGTTGCCCAGGCTGGAGTGCACTGACATGATCTGAGCTCACTGCAACCTCCACCTCCCAGGTTCAAGCAATTCTCCTGCCTCAGCCTTCCAAGTAGCTGGCATTACAGGAACGCACCACCACACCTGGTTAATTTTTGTATTTTTAGCAGAGACAGGGTTTCTCCATGTTGGCCAGGCTGGTCTCCAACTCTTGATCTCAGGTGATCCGCCTGCCTTGGCCTCCCAAAGTGCTGGGATTACAGACGTGAGCCACCGTGCCTGGCCTCTTTTTTTTTACATCCCCATGAAGGACTGATATTTGACAGCATTTTACCCAGAGTAGAACTTCTTTCAAAATTGAAGTCAGTCCTCTCAAACCCTGCAGCTGCTTTATCAACTATGTTTATGTAATATTCTAAATCCTTTGTCACTTCAACAGTATTTACAGCATCTTCAACAGGAGTAGATTTCATCTCAAGAAACCACTTTCTTTGCTCATTCCTAAAAAGCAACTCCTCATTTGTTCAAGTTTTATCATGAGATGGCAGCAATTCAGTCATATCCTCAGGTTCTACTTCTAATTCTAGTTCTCTTGCTATTTCCACCACATCTACAGTTATTTCCTCCACTGAAATCCTGAGCCCCTCAAAGTCAGCCATGAGGGTTGGAATCAACTTCTTCCAAACTCCTGTTAATGTTGATATTTTGACTTCCTCCATGAATCATGAATATCTTTTTCTTTCCTTTTTTTTTTTTTTTTTCCAGACGAGGTCTCACTCTGTCACCCAGGCTGGAGTGCAGTGGCACAATCATGGCTCACTGCACCCTCGACCTCTCAGGCCCAAACGATCCTCTCACTTCAGCCTCCTGAGTAGCTGAGAGCACAAGAGCACACCACCATGCCTGACTAACTTTTTCACTTTTTGTAGACAGGGTCCCCCTGTGTTGCCAGGCTGGTCTCAAACTCCTAGGCTCAAGTGATCCTCATGCCTCAGCCTCCCAAAATGCTATGATTACAAGCATGAGCCACCATTCCCAGCCCTTGAATGTTCTTAATGGCCTCTAGAATGGTGGATTCTTTCCAGAGGTTTTCAATTCACTTTGCCCAGATCCATCAGAGGAATCATTGTCTATGGCAGCTATAGCTTTACAAAATACATTTCTTAAATGATAAGACTTGAAAGTCAAATTTGTTCCTTGTTCCATGAGCTGCAGAATAGATTTTGTGTTAGCAAGCATGAAAACAACATTCATCTCCTTGTATGTCTCCATCAGAGATCCTGGGTGACCAGGTACATTGTCAATGAGCAGTAGTATTTTGAAAGGAGTAGGTTTCAACAGTGGGCTTAAAATATTTGGTAAACTGGCCGGGCACGGTGGCTCACACCTGTAATCCCAACACTTTGGGAGGCCGAGGTGGGCAGATCACCTGAGGTCAGGAGTTCGAGACCAGCCTGACCAATATGATGCAACCCTGTCTTTACTAAAAACACAAAAATTAGCCAGGCATGGGGGCATGCGCCTGTAATCCCAGCTACTCGGGAGGCTGAGACAGGAGAATTGCTTGAACACGGGAGGCAGACATAGCAGTGAGCTGAGATCGCACAATTGCACTCCAGCCTGGGCAACAAGAGCGAAACTCCATCTCAAAAAAAAAAAAAAATATATATATATATATATATATATATTTGGCAAACCATGCTGTAAATAGATGAGCTGTCATCCAAGCTTTGTTGTTTCTTTGATAGATCACAGGCAGAATAGATTTAGCATAATTATTAAAGGCCCTAGAAGCCTGGCGTGGTGGCTCACGCCTGTAATCCCAACACTTTGTGAGGCCAAGGAGGGCGGGTCACTTGAGGTCAGGAGTTTGAGACCAACCTGGCCAATATGGTGAAACCCCGTCTCTACTAAAAATATAAAAGTTAGCAGGGCGTGGTGGCGGGTGCCTGTAATCCCAGCTACTCAGGAGGCTAAGGCAGAAGAATCACTTGAACCTTGAGGGGTGGAAAATTCATAAAGACCCTAGGATTTTCAGAATGGTAAACATTGACTTTAACTTGAAGTCACCAGCTGCCCTGGCCCCTAATGAGAAAGTCAGCCTGTTCTTTGAAACTTTGAAGCCAGGCATTGACTTCTCCTTTCTAGCTATGAAAGTCGTAGATGGCATCTTTTTCCAAGAGAAGACTGTTTTGCCTACATTAAAATCTGTTGTTTAGCATAGCCACTGTCACCAATTATCTTAGCTAGATCTTCCGACTAACTTGCTGTGGTTTCTATGTCAGCACTTGCTGCTTCACCTTTACGTTGTGGAGACAGCTTCTCTCGTTAAACCTCAAGAACCAAGCTCTGCTAGCTTCTAACTTTTCTTCTGCAGCTTCCTCCCCTCTGTCAACCTTCACAACATTGAAGAGATTTAGGATCTTGCCTTGGATTAGGATTCAACTTAAGGGAATGTTGTGGCTGGTTTGATCTTCTAATCAGACCACTTGAACTTCCTTCCTGTCAGCAAATAAAGCTGTTTTGCTTTTTTATCATTTGTGTGTTAACTGGAGTAGCACTTTTAATTTCCTTCAAGAACATTTTCCTTTATTCACAGCTTGGCTAACTGGTACAAGAGGCCTAGCTTTGGGCCTATCTCAGCTTTCAACACGACTTCCTCAGTAGGCCTAATCATTTCTAGCTTTTGATTTCTAGTGAGAGACCTGTGACTCTTTCTTTCACATGAACACTTAGAGGCCATTGTAGGGTTATTAACTGGCCTACTTTCAATATTGTTGTGTCTTAGGGAATAGGGAATCCCCAGGAGAAAGAGAGAGATGAAGAACAGCTCGTCAGTGAGGCAGTCAGAACATACACATTTGTTGATTGTTTGCTGCCTTATATGGGCACCATTTGTAGCACCCCAAAACAATTCTATTAGTAACACCAAAAAATCACTGATCACAAATCATCATAACACATATAATAATAATGAAAAACTTTGAAACATCATGAGAATTACCAAGATGTGACACAGAGACATGAAATGAGCACATGCTGATAGAAAAATGGCGTCAACAGACTTGCTCAACACAGGGTTGCCGCAAACCTTCAATTTATTTAATAATAAAATAAAAAGGCAGTGTCTGAAGTACAATAAAATAAGGTATGCTTATAATTTTTCTTCTTTTGAATTATTTCTTTTAGAAGTTGCTTTAGTAGGCCTCGCATAGTGGCTCACGCCTGTAATCCCAGCACTTTGGGAGGCCGAGGTGGGAGGATCATTTGAGGTCAGGAGTTCAAGACTAGCCTGGCCAACATGGCGAAACCCCGTCTCTACTAAACATACAAAAAAATTAGCCGGGCATGGAGGCGCGTGCCTGAATTTCAACTACTTGGGAGGCTGAGGCAGGAGAATCGCTTGCACCTGGGAAACGGAGGCTGCAGTGAGCTGAGATTGTGCCACTGCACTCCAGCTTAGGGGACAGAGTGAGACTCTGTGTCAGAAAAAAAAAAAAAAAAGAAGAAGTTGCTTTAGTGGAGTAGTCTGTTGGTAGAAACCTCTGTTTTTGTTTGTCTCTAAAGGGTTTTGTTTTGCTTTTTTTTTTTTGAGACAGAGTCTCGCTCTGTCACTCAGGCTGGAGTGCAGTGGCACAATCTTGGCTCACTGCCACCTCCACTTCCCAGATTCAAGAGACTCTCCTCAGCCTCCTGAGTAGCTAGGACTACAGGCGTCCCACCACCATGCCTGGCTAATTTTTTTTTATTTTTAGTAGAGACGGGGTTTCACCATGTTGGCCAAACTGGTCTCGAACTCCTGACCTCAGGTGATCCCCCTGCCTCGGCATTCCAAAGTGCTGGGATTACAGGCATGAGCCACCGTGCCTAGCCGTGTGTTCATATATTTAGATACAGGCTCACTCTGTCACCCAGGCTGGAGTGCAGTGGTGCAATCAAAGCTCACTGCAGCCTCAAACTCCTGGACTCAGTGATTTTCTTGCCTCAGCCTCCTGAGTAGCTGGGACTGCAGGTGCGTACTACTGTGCCCAGCTAGTATATTTTTTAGATAAAGCATATAAAGCAAGTACAAATAATATGTTTCTTTAGGCATACATATGGTTATCAAGAGAATGGTGAATACAACATTACAGCCCAAGACAGTGGTTTGGCTGGGTGATGAGGTGGGGGGATGGGATAGGAAAGGGTCATAGGTGGATGCAAATAAATGATAGTGATCTCATTTTTGGGTGGTGGGTTCAAGTGTGTTCATTAGGTTAATAAAAAACATTAATAGCATATATAAATAAGCAGTAAAAGCGAGGCATGCATAAACCAGTCAAGAAAATGAACTGTAGATTTTGACTCATCCAATTTTGTGCATCTGAGAAATAAACAAAAGAGATAGAACTAGAAATGAAAGACAGAGACAGAGAGAGAGAAGAAAAAAAATGGTTCCTATTTCTACCAGCAACATTTTTTAACTTGTATGATCAAAGACAGCCATGGAACTATCTAAAAATATCAAGACTCTTAAATAAGAACTTTTGTTGAAAATTTCATGGTCTAAAATAGCCATTTAACAACACAGTCAAGGCCAGGCATGGTGGCTCATGCCTGTAATCCCAGCACTTTGGGAGGCCGAGGCAGGAGGATCACTAGAGCCCAGGAATTAAGAGAGCAGCCTGGGCAACACAGTGAGACCCCATCTCTACAAAAACGCAACACGAAACAAAAAAACATACACAATATACTGCATCTGACTTTATTATCCTAATAAAAAAATATCAATCAACTTAAAAATTCTGGCCTTTTGGTGGTGGTAGAGGGAGGAAGGGGATGAGAGTGGGAGTACAGTGAGGGGCAGAAGTGCTGATCTGCATTTACTGCTCTAGGGACAGGAGGCCTGGAAGCTGCCCTGTGCGGGACTTCCGCAGCCGGCATGCTGAGCCTCGCACCAGCGAGTCCCGGGGGTGTGGCAGCCTCGCTCGCCCTAGCCCGCCCCGCTCCCCGCCCGCCCTCGCCCCGGGCCGGCCGAGTTCGGACCTGCAGCTCCCCCGGCCTCTGCGCGGTGCAACTCAGCCGCAGGCGCCGGGCTCAGCTGGCTACCAGCGCGGCCCGGGAAGCAGCTGGGGAAACAAACGCCTTAGCCCTGGAGGCCTGGCTCAGCACAGAAGCCCCAAATAAGGCGGGCCGACTCCACCTGGGCAGCAGCGATTGCTCAGAGGGGGCCGATGACTCACTCGACCCAGCCAGCCAAGCACCTCTCTCCCTCCCCAGGGACCCTCGTCCTGTCCCCCACCACATCACACCACACCACAACCCGGGGAACACACCTGGGGAACCCTCCCAGTTCTCACCCTGCCCCTCACCTGGCCTCCCTGAAACCAAACCCTGTGGCTTCAGTGGCTCAGCCGACTTCTCAGCACAGCTTCCCCGGGAGCGCCCGTCCTTGAGCTGCCAAAACCCAGGGGACCAGGGCCTCGCTCCAAGCTTTACGGGGCAGGCATGCTTGATAAATGTCTATTGATCAATGCATGCATTATGTCAGAGGACAAGGGCAAAAACTGGGCTGGTTCTGGGATGTGTGCGTGAAAGCCACTCCGTTTACATCACCATGGAAGGGAAGGCTGGGGTAAATCTGAGATGCTTCAAAACAGGCTATTACAGCGTCTACAAGTGAGTGTTCTCATTAGTCCTCAGCAGCTCTGGAAGAAGGGGAGGTAACCTGGAGCACACCCTACTTAGCGTATGGGGACCCTGGGCCCCAGAGTGGCGAGTGTGACATGCCTGGCCGGGTACGAGTGGGGGCTGTGGAGTTTCCGTGACCTCAATTTTTCTGGTCTGTAAAGTACAGCACTTGGTTTTTTGCTTGTTTTTTAGACAGGGTCTCTGTTGCCCAGGCTGGAGTACAGTGGCATGATTAAGGCTCACTGCAGCCTCAACCTTCCTGGGCTCAGTGATCCTCCCACCTCAGCCTCTTGAGTAGCTGGGACTACAGGTATGCATCACCAGGCCTGGCTATTTTTTTGTTTTGTTTTGTTTTGTTTGTTTTGGTTTTGGTAGAGATGGGGTTTCCCCATGTTACTCAGACTGGTCTCGAACTCCTGGGCTCAAGCTATTCTCAGCCTCCCAAAGAACTGGGATTATAGGCGTGAACCACTACGCCCACCCTAAAGTGAAGCACTTTTAACTTTTCAAAGCACTTCCATTTAGATTCCATACTCTCTCCTTAGATTATCATAACTATCATTTGTGGATACAAACTAATGACGAATGAGAAAAGTGAGGCTCAGAGGTTAAGTGACTTGCTCAAGGTCACACTGTTACCTACTAGCTTGGTCAAGAATGGAAATAAATTAAGGAATTCTTTTTAATGCCCCAAGATTCCAAGATTTTTCACCCACTTTGAACACATCATTCGCACTTAACTGGAATTCACTCTCCCATTCTACAGCGTGGAGAGAAGCCACCCTACTCAAGAAAGAGGACTCAAATTTTATAGGAGCTGGAGAAATGAATGGTCTCCCCAACCTCAGGGGAGTAAGGAGGGACTTTCCCATGCAAAAATCTCCATAAATACGAATCTGTATATTTGTAGGCACTCCATGATATACAAAGCACTTTCATATCCAGTATTTCAAGTGATTCTTGTCACTTACCTTACCCTGTAAGGTATTCAAGAGGATATTATCTGATATTTTAAGGAGAGTGAAAAGGCTGCAGCAGTTAAGTGGCATGTTCAACAATAATACCCCATTTCCTTCCCATGCATTGCATTACATTGGTTACCCCTGAGGTTCTGAGATAACCAATGTAATGATGAAAAACTCTCTATATTCATAATGGAAACCCAAAGCATCTCTCTCCATTTTTCTCATTTCTGTCCTCAAGATGCCCAGAAAGGAGGAAGGTGGAGGGGTGAAACCTTGGTATGGGCCAGGGGACAAACTACGAGCACAGAGTAGCCCAAGCCTTCCCCAGAGTCATGGCAAAAGGTGGTACCAGCTCATGGGTGAACCCAAGACTCCATGTCCTGGCCCTGGATCCTGCACCGAACAGGTGCCTTGGACAAGCCTGTATCTGTCATGGAGGCCACCAGTACTCTTTATCACTCTTGAATTTGTAGCAGTCAGTTGGTACAACCTCCAAGAGGCTGGCACCTCGGGCTGTCATTCCAAAGCCACCTAACTGCCAAGGGGTGTCAAGTGGCCCACCACAAGCACAGGGACTTTCCCATCTAGTGTCCCATCATAGACACTAGACATTGTCTTTGTCCCCAGCCCCATGGTTGCTAATTATCTTTTGGCTGGTGACAGCCTCCAGATCTTCCTTTCTCTCTGCCCCTTCTTGTGCTATTCTTGGATTTTTTTTTTAAAAAAAACACTTCTTTTCTTTAAAAATATAGCTGCAGATAAAATATACTTAGCTTCTCTTTCACACATATACATTTAAGAGAATGAAGGCAGGAAATCTTTATGGTTCTCTCCAATCACAGGCCAGCATGAGAACCCAAATCACCAGCAGGAGCCAGCCTCTCCACCATGAATGAGTAATCTCACTCACAGATTTACAGGGGGCTTTATTTAGGGTGTTCCACATCTTATTCTAGAAGCCTGGCCTTTAGCTGAGCCTGTGTAAAAGCCACTTTACATTTTGACTCCCACTTCAAACACAAGTTGGCCTGCCCATCTTCTCACACCTTCATGTGAGATCCAGACACATAGAGGAAAGTACCTCCCAAAGGTGACCCAAGAGTTCCAAGCCTTCTCCCCTCTCTGATTTCTCATCCCAGGATCAGACCCTGTGCACCACCTAGGCTGGCTCCAGGTGGTCAGCTTCCAAAGCAAAGGCTATGGCCATCAGCACTTTTTTTTTTCCTAATCATTTCTTCATATATTTAAATTTTTTAAGACAGAGTCTCCCTCTGTTGCCTAGGGTGGAGTACAGTGGCACGATCTTGGTTCTCTGCAGCCTCAACCTCCTGGACTCAAGCAAGCCTCCCACCTCAGCCTCCCGAGTAACTGAGACCACAGACATGCACTACCACGCTCAGCTAATTTTCATACTTTTTGTAGAGATGGGGTCTGACTATGGTGCCCAGGCTGGTCTCGAACTCTTGGGATCAAGCAATTCTCCCGCTTTGCCTCCCAAAGTGTTGGGATTATAGACATGAGCCACTGTGTCCAGCCGTTTGTTTTTTTTGTTGTTGTTGTTATTTTCTGTTTTTTTTAGAGAGAAGTTCTTGCTCTATTGCCGAGGCTGGAGCGCAGTGGTGCAATCAGAGCTCACTACAGCCTCAAAGCCCTGGACTCAAGGGATCCTCCCGCCTCAGTCTCCTGAGTAGCTGGGACTACAGGTGTGCATCACCACACCTGGCTAATTTTTTTATTTTTTATTTTTTTAAGTGACGGAGTCTCACTAAGTTGCCCAGACTGGTCTTAAAACCCTGGCCTCAAGCCTCAGCCTCCCAAAGTGCTGGGATTACAGGTATGGGCCATTGTGCCCAGCCCATCAGCTTCTTTATTTCCCTTCTAAAACCACAGATACTTTGCCTCTGGTTGCCTGCTATCATTGGATTCCACTGGACTATGTTTGGGGCTGACTTGTGACCAATTCTTTATGATGTGGGAAAATGCTCATGATCTAGTATTGGGTAGGAAAAAAAAATTAAATCAAAATCTTATTATGCAACGTGTTCCCAATTTTGTTTAAAAAATGTATATACTCACCCACGTATATAAAAGACTAAAAGAGACTACACCAAAATGTTAGCAGTTATGTCTGGACTTGTGAACGTTTTAGTTTTCTCTTCATGCTTTTCTGAATATTCCACACTTTCTAGGATGATCCTGTGTAGAGGCAGTACATAGCTCAGAATCTTTTTTTATTTTTATTTATTTTTTTTGAGATGGAGTCTCGCTCTGTCACCAGGCTGAAGTGCAGTGGCACAATCTCGGCTCACTGTAACCTCCGCCTCCCAGGTTCAAGTGATTCTCCTGCCTCAGCCTCCCAAGTAGCTGGGATTACAGGTATGTGCCACCACGCCTGGCTAATTTTTGTGTTTTTAGCAGAGATGGAGTTTCATCATGTTAACCAGGCTGGTCTTGAACACTGACCTCAGGTGATCCACCCACCTTGGCCTCCCAAGGTGCTGGGATTACAGGCGTGAGCCACTGTGCCTGGTCGACTGTTTTTTTATTTTTATATTTTTTATTTTTTAGAGATGGGTTCTCATTATATCGCCCAAGATGGATTCAAACTCCTGGACTCAAGCAATTCTTCTGCCTCAACCTCTCAAAGTGCTGGACTACAGACACGTGCCACTGCACCCTTGGACTCTGAAGTTTGAGAGCCATGGTTTGAATTCCACAACCACCACTTGGTAGCTGTGGGAACTTGGATAAAAGTATTTTATCTCTTGAGCCTTACTTTCTTTTTTTGAAAGGGAAGATAGGAATGACTCCTTCCTTATTAGGATTGTCATGAGGAGGGAATGAGGTCATGCAGTTTTAGCATGTGTCTTGGTGCCTGAAATATAGTAAGTGCTCAGTATATGTGAGATCCTTTTTACATATTACTTTTATACTCTGGAAAAAAAGTAAATATTCTTAAAAAATAACCACCTGGCTAAAAATTTGCCATTTGGATTAAAGTACACCGAGAAAACAACAAAAGCCCTCCTCGAAACGTGGTGTCTCTAAAAGTGGCTGAAACAAGAATGATCATACGATAAGGTAGGGTTTAACTATGTCAACGTTCCTATGAAAAGGCAATATACGGCCGGGCACGGTGGCTCACGCCTGTAATCCCAGCAATTTGGGAGGCTGAGGCAGATGGATCACGAGGTCAGGAGTTCAAGACCATCCTGACCAAGATGGTGGAACCCTGTCTCTACTAAAAATACAAAAATTAGCCGGGCACAGTGGCAGGCACTTGTAATTCCAGCTACTTGGGAGGCTGAGGCAGGAGAATCGCTTGAACCCAGGAGGCGGAGTTGCAGTGAGCCGAGATTATGCCACTGCATTCCAGCCTGGGTGACAGAGTAAGATTCCATCTCCAGAAAAAAAAAAAAAAAAGAAAGAAAAGGGAGTATAAGCTGGGAAGGGTGTTGAATGAGGAGTGATGACTGTGATAAATGCAAAGCTGATGAAAGAAAATATAGATGCTTTTTAAATGAAAAACAAAACAAAATAAAAAAACCCCTCACAAAACTAGGTAGATTAGATCACAGAATAATGGACCAAGCTATAAAGCAACTAGCAGAAGAAAAGCATATAACTCAGAAAGTAGGGAGAGTCTGTGAGTTGGGTAAACAGGAATGCTCTGTCTGGCTAGGGCATTAGAGAGGCAGTGTTGCCTAGGGCCCAGGCAGGATGACAGGGGCTGAGTCAGAAACAGCCCTGGGTTAAACTGGGGCGGAAGTTAGACCCCATTTAGACAAGGGACTTTGGGGATTGGAACTATGGATTTGGCCAGCCTGGGGAGCTCTGAAACACAACTGTTTATAGCACTAGGTGCAGGAGATAAGCTGAGCAAGTTAGGAGAATGTACACTTCACTAATCTGAATATAGCTGAGAGCCTGGATCTCCTGACATTGTTGTTAAGCAGTGTGGCCTTCCAATAGCCTGACCTGTTTTGTGCCAGTGACACTAGAGGATGTTGGACACCACAAAGAAGTAAAAAGAGAATCACCACCATTACCAGGATTCCAAATGCAGTCCAGACCTCCTCTCCACCTTGGCATAGTGGCCACATAGAGTCATACAGAGCGGGGCTGCAGGGAGCCGCACAAGCTCCCAGCATGAGTTTGAAGAGGGAGAGTGAAAGGTGGAGCTTCCTTAGATAAGGGCTCAATAATTCTAGGAGACCAATTCCTAAGCCAAGTCTCCTGGGGAACTGGCCATTGTTTCAACTCCGGTCACCAACTTCCTAGGAAGATGTCACCAGTCTCTGTCACTGAAGCCCAGCTGAGCAAGACAGCAGTGAGATCTTACTTTTAAATGTTGGTACCCAACTATAATTAATCTGCAGCATTGTTTGGGTAGGAGGAAGCAGAGAATGTTAGAGTTGAAACATCCTAGAAGTACATTTAGCCCTAACTCTTCATTTTACATCTGAACAAATTGAAGCCCAGAAAGGTTCAGTGATTTCCCAAAAGTGACAGAACAACTTAAGTGGCTCAAGTTCCAGGTTTCCCAACTTCCAGTCTGGAACTCACTTCTCTAGACCACCCTGCCTGTCATTAGGAAGGCTTTGCAATTATTCAGGCATGAGATGATGAGGTTTTGAGCAGGGAGGGTGGCCCTGGGAAGGAAGAAGGTAAAGTTCACTGTGGTCTGTTTGTTTAGAGAAAATTTTCTATTTGTTTATATCCATCCATCCATCCAAGCATTCTTTTTTTTTTTTTTTTTTTTTTAAGATGGAGTCTTGCTCTGCTGCCCAGGCTGGAGTGCCATGGCATGATCTCGGCTTACTGCCACCTCTGCCTCCAGGGTTCAAGCAATTCTCCTGCCTCAGTCTCCTGAGTAGCTGAGACTATAGGCACTTGCCACAACATCTGGCTGATTTTTGTACTTTTAGTAGAGATGGGTTTTCATCATGTTGGCCAAGCTGGCCTCGAACCCCTAATGTTAGGTGATCCACCCTCCTCGGCCTCCCAAAGTGCTGAGATTACAAACATGAGCCACCACACCCGGCCCATCTATCCGTTCTTTACTGATCCTCATTCTATGAGCCAAAGACTGTGCTAAACACCGAGTATATAGGAATGACTAAAGCATCACTCTCCTTTCAAGTAGCTTGCAGGCTGATGAGTGGGCTCAGTGAAAACGCTGCAGCCAAAACCAACAAGTCGCTGCATCTCAGAAACCATGCTGCCATAAGCCTGTTCACATGAACTCTCAGCTAATATTCACACCCTTGTCTGCAAGTCACTGCATCTGAAACCATCTCCCATCATTGGATGCCATCCCTGAGAAACTGGGAGGGGACCAGAGAATTCCCCCTGTTCCAAGAGAGCCTGGAGCACTTAAGTGATCTATAGGAAGCAGGAGCAAGAACTGCACTTAATGCCAAGCCCCTTCCAGCCAGGAAAGGCAAGTTCTGGTTCACGCATTATCTTGGCTAAGCTGCCACTTCTTGCCAGCTAAAGTCTCTGCGTGGGTGTGTGCTGGGAAAAGCAGGGGAGATTCCAGCCTGAGACTCTCTTGCTTGTTTATCCAGGGGCAGCTCAATTCCAGTGCAGCTGACAGTTGATCTGGGTGACCAAATAGTGATAGCACCCTTGGGCTACAGCTTCTACAAAAACAAGTAGTGTTGTCACCCAGTCTGACTCCCTCCATCAACAAGAGATTTCCCAGCATTGACTTCTACAGCCGCTACTCCCAGGGGAGGAATGCAGGGCACGAGTAAACAAGGTGAGGTGGTTGCAGCTCTCTACCCTCCACTCTGCCTTATTTCACCAGGACTCTTCTTGCTCAAATATCAAGCAAAGCCCTAGAGCTGGCACCAAGAGGGTAACCTGTCTCATGGAAATGATGGAGCCCCTGCATGCCCTTTGATGGAGAGTTGCAGGAGGCTGGGGCCTCTGGGCCTTTCGCTACGGGGAGACAGTGGGCTATGACCCTTTTATAAATGTACTGAGCCCAAAGGTTAGCAGGGAGCAGGTGGGCAGGCTGGTGCCAGGCTCCATGGAAAAGGAAGGGAGAAATGGAGGGACAAGATAGGAAAAATTAAAATTCGATGACTACCCTGGCTCATAGTAGTGAGCCAGGCACTCAGAACATGTATCACTCTTCATTTGTGTGTGTTCATATTTTCCAGAGGAAATTGAGTCTGAGAGCCTAAATAATTTGTCCACGGTCACACAGCTGGCCAGCCAGACTTGAATCCAGTTCCATCAGACTCCCTCAAATCTGCACTTTTATATAACACCACCTGCTGGGATTGGAAGGCCAACTAGGTGATTTAGGACACAGGGCATTTTTATACAGAAAGGCACAGGAATGGATTCAGGATTTGGTAAGCTCTGACCCCCGGGGCTGAAAACCCAGTGGAAATTAGCATTCTTTGCTATATCAATATAAGACTTCAGCATCCTGTTTCCTAGTCCCAGTAAATGGATTTTCCAGTGTTAAGGAAATCTCTTTTCATCTGCTCCTCTTACAGGGCTAAATGGCTTAGGTCAGAAATACAAACAGAAAACACAGATAAATCCAGGGTCATACTTTCTTTCAGACTTTTCTATATTGCTCCTAATGTCCCCCATCAAAGCAGACTGTGAGGCCAGGTGCAGTGTTTCACGCCTGTAATCCCAGCACTTTGGGAGGCAGAGGCAGGTGGATTGCTTGAGCCCAGAAGTTTGAGACCAGCCTGAGCAACATAGCAAGACCCATTTCTAAAAAAAATTTTTTTTTAATTTGCTGGGTGTGGTGGTGCACACCTGTAGTCCCAGCTACTCAGGAGGTTGAGTTGGGAGGATCCCTTGAGCCCAGGAGTTGGAGGCTACAGAGAGCCATGATGACACCATTACACTCCAGCCTGGGCGAAAAAGTGAGATCCTGTCTCTAAAAACAAAAAACAAAACAAAAACAAAACACAGTAGGCTGTGGGGGTTAGGGACCAGAAGCACGCCCAGAGGGTTACCCCACTGTTCTCAGTGGCCCACTGTCTGAGTCATTTTTCCCTCTGACATTGGGAAGCCTAGGAATACAAAAGTTACCAAAGCAAAATCCACTAAATAACTTTTTATTGAGTACTTACTATGTGCCAAATACTGTTCTGGGCACTTGGGATATATCAATGAGCAAGGCGAAGACCATTGCTCTCATGGAGCTTATCTTCCAGGAGAGTAAATAACCTTTTTTTGTGTATTAGAAGGGCCGTGAGCTTTGGTGTCAGGCCTGGGTCACATATCAGCCCCAACCCTAATGAGCCAGATGATCTCTGGGCAAGCTATTTAACTCACGGAGTGTTAGCTTTCTTATCTGTAAAATGGGAACCATAGCATGTTGTAAGAGTGTAGTAAGGATTACAGATAATGTATATTAATCGGCTGGCACAAAGCAGGGTTCAAAAATGGTTAGTACTATTTTTCCAGTCCCAGCTGAATCCACAGATTCTGGGACAACTCGCATGCCCTCTTATTTAGGGGCTTCAACCAGAGCATTATCTTTAAGATATCCTAGAGAGAGTCTGGTGTGGTGAAGAATGTAGTTGGGTTGAATCAACCTAAAGCCAATGAATTTTCCCTCTAGAAATGTCTGCTCCCACCCCTAGACCTGATGAAAAAGATAGGCCTGATTAGTCTCCCTCCCCTGCCACAAGCCACAGATCACTGGAGTGCAGAGGACATCAGATCTAAGCTGGAATCAGCATCTGTTGGCGTTTGGACTGAGAGACCGAGTTAATTTACTTCGGAGAGCTAAGTGGGAAGGCCACATGGACTGACAGATGGAACCTACTGCCTGGTTCACCCACAATGGGTCCTGTGCTTGTGGATGAAAGAGCAGGAGCCCATCTGTGAAGAAGAGAGTGCTACAGCTCCAGGATGTAGGTGTGGCTCACAGAGGGGCTACACTTCCCACACCTAAGTTCTGTGCTATTTCCCTGTAATGGCCTAATAAAGCTCCCTTTTACTTTTGCTTCTCTGAGTAGGCTTCTATTCTCACAACCAGATGATCTCCAAGAAAAAGCCTGTACCTGTCTCAGAAGGTGGTTGTTGTGACATAATTTGGAAGCATCTGGCATTTAGTCGACATTCAATAAATGCTGTTGAAACTTCCCATGTTCTTGTCAACCAGTCAGTCACTCAGCCATGGAAAGAGGAAATCTATAAATGGGCTAAACTAAGGGTGCATCTTAGCCTTATGGTTTATGAACATCTTTATCATGTGGAAAATGAAGACAATGCTAATATCGACCTCACTGTTCACTGAGAATATTAAATGAGATGATTCAAGTTTAATACCTATCACATAAATAATAAATGTTAGCTCGATTATTACTTCTACCAATGTCATTGTTATTTAAGATGTGACAAGAGCAGGGTGCAGTGGCTCACACCTCTAATCCCAGCACTCTGGGGGGCCAAGGTGGGCAGATTGCTTGAGACCAGGAGTTTGAGACCAGCCTGGGCAACATGGCGAAACCCCACCTCTACTAAAAATTCAAAAAAAAAAAATTAGCTGGGCATGGTGGCACGCACTTGTAGTCCCAGTTACAAGGGAGGCTGAGGTGGGAGAATCACCTGATCCTAGGAAGTTGAGGTTGCAGTGAGCCATGATTGTGCCACTGTACTCCAGCCTGGGCGATGGGAGTGAAACCCTGTCTCAAAAAAGGATGCAACAAGTGTTTTAGATCTTGATCTAAGCAAGGAGGGAGGATGCAGTGAGAGCAGGAGTGGGAACACACAGAGAACAGGAGGATGTTCTTGGGAGTGGGGTCAAGGGGTTGGGCAGTCAAGAGAAGGAACTGAGATGAAGAGTGGGGAATAGGAAGAGGGGGTCACCGGAATAATAAGCTTTACGTATATCTAGCACTTTAATGTTTATGGGATGCTTTTACCTACAATACCTTATTTGTCTGTCATAACACTCTATGGGGTAAGTAATGAAAGGCGATATTATACAAACTTTAAAGAGGGCAAAACTCAGGCTAGGTGCAGATGTGTACAGCATGTACCAACTGAAGCTAAATCCACTCCTTTATCCTTTATACCACATTGCCTCTGAAAATAGGGATTAAGAGGCTGAAATGAGAGGTAAAGACTGGAGGAGGAACTGGAGGGCTTCTCTGGAGAGGTATTGTTCTATTTCTCAGTACCATTTGGATTCCTCTGGGCATCCCAGCAACAGAACATCTCCACCCCATCAGAGGCAGAGGCTCCGGATATAAGCAGGGGATGGTAAAGTCAGGTAACACTGGGAGGCCAACCGAGCGGCTGAATAAACCAGGCTGGACCCACACCCAGCTTCGGCACCATGCCCTGGTCCAGGAGAAGGCTTTCTTCAGCAAAGGACAAGCGCAAGCCCTTTACCATTCAGGCCATGGTCTCACTGCTAACACCAGGGGCTGCCCTGCAATGATATCTAAGGCCCCTACCAGCTCAGTTGTGCGTCGGGTCTAGATCTTACCTCCCTGAAGTCAAGGGTTAAATGTGCTCTCCAGGGAAACAGATGCAAACTCCCTAGAGCACTACCAACAAGCGGGGCTTGCTGTGAGTCCCCAGGCTTGGGACAATCATCCCTGAGCTTAACATCAGTGATGCTGAGCCCTTCCTTTGCCTCCCGGATACCACTTCTTCCCAAACCCTTAACATAGTGCTTGGCATATGGTCTGTGCTCGCTTCATGTTTGTTGGATAAATAAATGGATAAGTGAACAAGCAAATGAATGACAGATTGGCTCTGGCAATCAAATCAGCCTGTGCTGTCACATTATGGTGGCCCCGCCCTCTTGACTCTTAGATCCCAAATCAGAGCTCAGCAGCCAACCTGACTTAGTCAGCTGCTAAGGAAGGATGGAGTTAATAGTG